>NT_187652.1:0-130957 GCF_000001405.40 Homo sapiens | reverse complement strand
TAAAGACAGTGAAAAAGTCAGAGACAGCTGCCTGCACCTACACACACATTCAGAGACAGAGTCCCAGAGGGTGGCATACACAGAGGGAGAAGGGGAGGGAACAGGTGTGGAGAGGAGCTGCGGAAGCAGAGAAATCTCAAGTCAGAGATTCAGGGACACTTGGTCCCCGTGGCGAGCCATGGAAGCAGAAAGGAGGCGCCAGGCCGAGAAGCCAAAGAAGGGGCGAGTCGGCAGCAGCCTGTTGCCTGAGAGACACCCGGCCACTGGGACCCCGACCACCACGGTGGGTGAGTGACCGTCCCGGTGTGCGTGGGTCCCTGAGGAGGCAGCGGGTGTGAGGCTGAAAGCATAGGCTCCATGAAGAAGGTTAGGAGGAGAAATTAAAACCCGAATCCTATCATGTTAAAACTGTGGGAACCTTTGAAAGTAAAAGGGACTGGAGCACCCCTTGGCTTTACAGACTGGGGAACTGAGCCCTTGGCAGGAGGGGGCGGCTGAACAGCTCACATCGCAGTGGGGATGTGAGACAGTTACCTCTGTCCCCTCACTCCTGACCTCAGAGTTGGTTAGCCCAAGCCACTGCCTTCTCTGATGAAGGGAGCTGGAGGGGCCAGGGCTTTGGGTCCAGGGCGGGAGGGCGGGCTCCGTGTGTGTGTCCCCCATGGTGGACAGTGAGCTCTAGGAGGGTCCACGCCCTTGGGCCCCATGGGGATGGTGCCTCGGCTCCAGACATCTTTTCTTGGTGTGCGCCTTCCAGGTGTGTCCTTTCCCTCCCCGTTCTCTCCTCCCCAACAGCTCTCAGACTAATTAGTGTGGGGGCTTAGGGAGCCTGTGGGGAGGAAGGCAAGCCTTTCCCACGAGCTCAAGTTCCTGCAGCCTGGTGGCTGGGCCAGGGCAGGGGTAGGGAGGAGATGAAAAGTAAGTAGGGGAGGGTGTGTCTGAGCGGAAGAGGGGGGTGCCCATCTTCCCAGGTGAGGGGTGCGGGAGATGGCAGCAGTCTGAAGAAGGCACAGGTTGAACAGGAGCCTCGCCAGCAGGGGACAAGCACTAGGGTCTTCCGTAGACAGCTGGGACGATTGTTAGGGTGCAGGTGCACACAGCAGACCCACAGGGTGAGCCCCAGGTGGTCGTGTGTGTCCAGAAGGGTGAACGTACATGGAGGGGTATGTGTCTGGCGGTGCAATAGGAAGTGGGCAGACAGTAGAGTTGCCAGGTAGACAGTGCATGAGTGCCAGGGCCAGGAATGAGTCTGAGGGTGTGCCCTGTGTAGACAGCACAGCCTGGTGTCAGAGACTCAGAGGCAACCAGGGGCCGAGGCTGAGCAGGTGCAGGAACCAGGCTATGGCAGCTAAAAGATTCCCGGTGGGGCAGGGCTGGGTGCGGTGGCTCAGGCCTATAATCCCAGCACTTTGAGAGGCTGACATGGGAGGACTGCTTGAGGCCAGGAGTTTGAGACCAGCCTGGGCAAGATAGCAAGACCCCATCTCTAATTTTTTATTTTTTTAATTAGCTGGGTATGTTGGTGTGCACCTGTAGTCCCAGCTACTCAGGAGGCTAAGGCAGTAGGATCACTGGAGCCCAGGGGTTCGAGGCTGCAGTGAGCTGTGATCACACCACTGCACTCCAGTCTGGGAGACAGAGCAAGACTCTGTCTCAAAAAAAGACTGGAGCAGCACAGGACGCACTGAGCGCAATCCCGGGACAGGCACATGTGGTCCAGCACCGAGGAGCGTCCTCCTCAGAAGCCGCCCCTCCCTTCTCTCCGTTCTCAGACTCGAGTGCTCCACCCTGCAGAAGGCTCCCTGGTGCAGGAGGGGGGAGATCAAGGTTCTCCCCGCAAGGAGGACAGAGGGGCCGCCCGCACTCCCGGCGCCGCCACCGCACCACCTTCAGCCCAGTGCAGTTGGAACAGCTGGAGTCAGCCTTTGGGAGGAACCAGTACCCCGACATCTGGGCCCGAGAGAGTCTTGCCCGGGACACTGGCCTCAGTGAGGCCCGAATCCAGGTGATGCTCCAGGATCCTCCTCTCTCAGGAAAGAAATGCAGATTTCTTTGGTGCTATCATAGAATGTTGGGCATTATAACCCTAACCTAAATGGTCACCAGACACAGGCCTCATCTCACCACCAGCATCAGAGCAACTGCATTGAGAATATCATATCACTTGAGTTTAACCCTAGCTATAAGCTAATCTAACTTGAATTTCAACACCTACCCTCAATATTTAATAGTGATGCCAATTCCGGCTGGGCACAATAGCTCACACCTGTAATCCCAGCACTTTGGGAGGCCAAGCTGGATGGATCACCTGAGGTTAAGAGTTCGAGACCAGCCTGGTTAACATGGTGAAACCCCATCTCTGCTAAAAATACAAAAAATTAGCCAGGCATAGTGGCAGGTGCCTATAATTAATCCCAGCTACTCCGGAGGCTGAGGCAGGAGAATCACTTGAACCCGGGAGGTGGAGGTTGCAGTGAGCCAAGATCATGCCACTGCACTCCAGCCTGGGCAACAAGAACAAAACTTTGTCTCAAAAAAAAAAAAAATAGTGATGCCAATTCCAACAGAAGTTCAATCCTAACTGTCCATATTCTTACAGAAGCTTGTCCCTAACCATAGCCTTGAAACTCAATGAGCCAAATGCTCCCTCAATCCTAACCCCAGGGTTGGTTAGCCTTAAGTGTAAACCCTACCCTAAATTCAAGCTTGTCTATAGCAATTACATTTATCTACAGTCTTAATCGTTAAACTTAACCCTAGGGGAAATTTCCCATTCTCTGGGGAAGGGAAATGTCATTGTCACCATATTTATCTCCTTGGTGGAAGCTGACACTTCTTACTTGCCCCGAGTGTTAGAAAAGGGCACATGTGGACAGAGGCTGGGGACAAGTCTGTGGGTTCCTTTGTCAGCAGACCAGGCTCAGCCAAGCCTTGTGGAAGAGCTTTACTCCCTCTGGCCATGCTGGAGAAGCCTGCTCCCTGTCCCTGCACCTCTTGTCATTGGAGTAGGGTGTCACCACCTATGTCAAGTGTGGGCTCTGATGTGGTTCCTACCCCTTCTCAGGTCTGGTTCCAGAACCGCAGAGCTAAGCAACGGAAGCAAGAGCGCTCACTGCTTCAGCCTCTGGCCCATCTGTCTCCTGCCGCCTTTTCCAGCTTCTTGCCAGAGTCCACTGCTTGCCCCTATTCTTACGCAGCACCACCACCACCAGTGACCTGCTTCCCTCACCCCTACAGCCATGCCCTCCCTTCCCAGCCCTCCACAGGAGGCGCCTTTGCTTTGTCACACCAGTCTGAGGACTGGTACCCTACCTTGCACCCAGCCCCTGCCGGCCATCTGCCCTGCCCCCCACCCCCTCCCATGCTCCCCCTCAGCCTTGAGCCATCCAAGTCCTGGAACTGAGGTCAAACAAGTACCACCAAGGTGATCCCCAGCCTGCGGCCCTCGTGAAAAGACAAGAAAATGGGGTGGCTTCCTTTCCATCTATGGGTGAAGCAGATGCATGGTGAGGGTCAGCTCAGTGATTAGAAATTTAAAAATGGGAGATCATGGTGAATTCTCACTGGGGTGATTAGTGGAGGAAGTCTGGGGAGGTGAGCTACTGGAAGAGACAGGGCAAGATGCCTCGGTGGAGCTGCCTGCTGAAGGGTGATATTGATGAAGACAGTTGCTGGTGAGTGGAGATGATTGAAGGGCTAGGAGGTGAGGGCCTTCATTAATTGAGATCACGATTGAAGAAGATCCCAGCTCTTTCTGGCTGATTTCAGTAAGGCTTCTGACTTAAGAGTCTACCTATACATCCCTTCCCCATTGCCCACCCCGCCATCTCAATCAGTCACTGACTTTTGTTTATTCTGTCCTAGAAATACCTTTTTTTTTTTTTTTTTTTTTTTTGAGACAGAGTCTTGCTCTGTCGCCCAGGCTGGAGTCCAGTGGCACAATCTCGACTCACTGCAAGCTCCACCTCCTGGGTTCACGCCATTCTCCCGCCTCAGCCTCCCGAGTAGCTGGGACTACAGGTGCCCGCCACCACGCCCGGCTAATTTTGTTTTTGTATTTTTAGTAGAGACGGAGTTTCACCATGTTAGCCAGGATGGTCTCAATCTCCTGACCTCGTGATCTGCCCGCCTCGGCCTCCCAAAGTGCTGGGATTACAGGTGTGAGCCACTGAGCCCAGCCGAAATATCTCTTCAGAGTGTCCCCTCCTTTCCATTCCAGCAGACACTTGGCTTTTTCTGACCCCGTATTTTCTGACTTATTGTCGCATAGGTTCCCTTAACTCTAGTCTATCCCACTTCCAACAAACCTGTGCAAATCTCAACATCAAGGAATGCTCTCCAATGTCTTATAAAAAATACATCAATCAGATTTGATTAGTTTTGCCTGTAGAAGTCTTCAACATCTGCCTTCAACTTTTAAATCAGCGGCACATTTTAACATATGTGGTTTCTGATAGAGAAGAAACCATTTGATTTAGGGCAAACTTTTCTAAGACGAAACCGTCTGAGGCTGATGAGGGGTCATTCCCAGGAAGGGACCTGCCTCGTCTGGGAAACGCCTTGGTCTGAACCCTCTCAAAAGAAACAGCATGGAGCCTAGTTCATGGTACAATTTTTATGCGATATTGCTTATTATGCACTTATTTTACTCACAATTCACTTATTTATATGTATGCTTACCTCTCTTATTGGAGGGTTCATAGAAAACTTTTTTAAATTAAATTTTTTTTTCTTTTTTGAGACGGAGTTTTGCTCTTGTTGCCCAAGCTGGAATGCAATGGAGTGATCTCGGCTCACTGCAACCTCCGCCTCCCGCGTTCAAACAATTCTCCTGCCTAAGCCTCCCGAGTAGCTGGGATTACAGGGTGTGCCACCGTGCCCGGCTAATTTTTTGTATTTTTAGTAGAGACGGGGTTTCACCATGTTGGCCAGGTTGGTCTTGAACTCCTGACCTCGAATGATCCACCTGCCTCAGCCTCCCAAAGTGCTGGGATTACAGGTGTGAGCCACTGCGCCAGGCCTGATTTTTTTAATATTTAATTTTTATTTTTTCATGTGCCTCTAGATATGATTTTTATTCTTGGTTTTTTTCCCCTCCCTCTTTCATCTCTCTCCTCTCTTCCAACTCCTCTTCCCTGTCCCATCCCTGCTACCCATTTAGTGGGAAGGAAGTTTCCCTGTGCCTGCAGCCCTGCTCCCCGACCCTCAGCAGGGTTACCTCCTGCAGAAGCAGGGCAAGGGGTAGGGACAAGGGACGGGGAGGCAGCTCGATGAAGTGAAGAATGAAGCCCCTGGAGGGAGGTGGATGGTGATGGCAGCAGTGGTGGCTGTCAGCCGGCATTCTCGTGCTCACAGCACTTCACAGAAGAATTTTTTTTTTTTTTTTCTTGGGACTGAGTCTCACTCTTGTCACCCAGGCTGGAGTGCAATGGCGTGATCTCAGCTCACTGCAACCTCCACTTCCTGGGTTCAAGCGATTCTCCAACCTCAGCCAACTGAGTAGCTGGGATTACAGGCATGTACCACCACGCCCACATAATTTTTTTTTTTTTTTTGAGATGGAGTCTCCCTCTTTCGCCCAGGCTGGAGTGCAGTGGTGTGATCTCGGCTCACAGCAACCTCTGCCTCCCGGGTTCAAAGTGATTCTCCTGTCTCAGCCTCCCGAGTAGCTGGGACTACAGGCGCCCGCCACCAAAGCCGGCTAATTTTTGTATTTTCAGTAGAGATGGGCTTTCACCATATTGATCAGGCCAGTCTCGAACTCCTGACCTCAGGTGATCCGCCTGCCTCGGCCTCCCAAAGTGCTGGGATTACAGGCGTGAGCCACCACACCCAGCCTCACCTAATTTTTGTATTTTTAGGAGAGCTGGGGTTTCACCATGTTGTCCAGGCTGGTCTCAAACTCCTGATCTCAGGTGATCCACCTGCCTCGGCCTCCCAAAGTGATGGGATTACAGGCATGAGCCACCACACCCGTCCCATAGAATAATCTTTAAACGGGCCTTTAGTGATGGATACTCAAGTTGTGAGTAGTTTTTTATATATATTATTAAAAAGTCTGGAATCACAACCCCTGTATTACACAATTGCACTCCTACCTAATTATCTCCTTGAGCCAGACTGCCTTCTAGAAAAATTACACTGGTTTGAATTCCACCAAAAGAACCTGAGTATTGGTTTCAGCACCTCCTTGTTAACCTGTACCATTTTTGACAATTTGTTAACTGAGAGTGATGTCTTCTTGTTTGCTTATTTTAAAATGTTCATTAATTGCTAGTGAGAGTTAAAAGTTTCATGTTTATTGGCAATTTACATTTTTCTTTTCTGCATTGCCTCTGTGTTGTGTATTTGTATATTGATATAGTCATCTTTTATTAGCGTCTGAGAGCTTTGTGGATTAGGGATATGAATTCCTATTCATACATGTTACAACCAATTTTTTTTTTTTTTGAGACATAGTCTCACTTTGTCATCCAGGCTGCAGTCCAGTGGCACTATCTCGGTTCACTGCAACCTCTGCCTTCCGGGTTCAAGCGATTCTCCTGCCTCAGTCTCCCAAGTAGCTGAGGCTACAGATGCACGCTGCCATGCCCGACTAATTTTTGTGTTTTTAGTAGCGATGGGGTTTTACTATGTGGGCCAGGCTGGTCTGGAACTTGTGAGCTCAAGCAATCCACTGGCCTCGGCCTCCCAAAGTGTTGGGACTACAGGCATGAGCCACCACGCCTGGCCACACATTGCAACTATTTTTTAAAGTTGGTTATTTGTCTTTTAGCCTTTCGCAGTGAAGTTTTCCTGAGAGAATTAACACGAATTTCCGACACCTGTTGTATGTAAGGCATTAACTTCTGTCTGAAACATCTAGAATGACACCAGTTTTGTAGAACTGGTAGATGTTTTAGAAATTAGTCACTCAGTTCATTTTCTGTGTTGTGTGGTTCAGATGAAGAGCCCCGGGTGAGAAATCTGTTTTTAGTGGTTTGATCTATGTTTTCTTTATTATTTGGATCAAAAGGCTACAACTTGAATCACCTGAAATTTATTTTGCTATGTGCAGCAAAATAGTCATGCAATTTCCCTCAATCAGCTAATTAGTTATTCCATTGTTATTTACTTAATCGTCAAACTTCACCCTATTGATTTGTAAAATCATAATTTTTCATATACTGAGTTCTCATATATATATACAGATGTGTATATATATACAGATGTATATATATATATACAGATGTGTATATATATACAGATGTATATATATATATATACAGATGTGTATATATATATATACCGATGTGTATATATATATATATGGGACAGCTGTGGACTCCTCATTCTTTTTCATCAATCAGTTTCTCTATTCCAGTTCCAGCACTACAGTCTTTTAATGATTGAAATGTAAGAATTATCAATACCTTTAAAATATTTAATTTTCTTATCCAAACACAAGGTGTGTCTTGTCGTTTCTTCCAGACTTCTGTTATGTCCTTCAGGAATTTAAAAAAAACATTTTTTTTTTTTTTTGAGACCGAGTCTTGGTCTGTTGCCCAGGCTGGAGTGCAATGGTGAGATCTCGGCTCACTGCAACCTCCGCCTCCCAGGTTCAAGCAATTCTCTTAGCCTCCAGAGTAGCTGGCACTACAGGTGCATGCTACCATACCCAGCTAATTTTTGTATTTTTTTTTTTTTTTTTTTTTAGAAGAGATGGGTTTCACCATGTTGGCCAGTCTGGTCTCGAACTCCTGTTCTCAAATGATCTACCTGCCTTAGCCTCCCAAAGTGCTGCAATTACAGGCATGAGCCACTGCGCCTGATCAGAATTTTTATTTAAAAAACAACTTCCATATATCATACCCTTTATATAAAGTGTTTAAATGTGCAAAATAAACATTATGTAAAGGTTTAAAAATGATTATATGTTTACTTTTGCATGGCGTATGTTAGAGCGCTGTTTTGTAGTGGGCAGGCCTGTGCAAACCCACTCCAAAGTCCAAGGAAGCTGAGAGGCCAAAGGCTGAAAAATTCAGTTTCTTAAAAAGAAACATTGAGGCCAGGCACTGTGGCTCACACCTGTCATCCCAACACTTTGGGAGGCCGAGGTAGGCAGATCACAAGGTCAGGAGTTCGAGACCAGCCTGAGCAACATAATGAAACCCCATCTCTACCAAAAATACAAAAATTAGCCAGGCATGCTGGCTCACGCCTGTAATCCCAGCTACTCAGGAGGCTGAGGCAGGAGAATCGCTTGAATCTGGGAGGCAGAGGTTGCAGTGAGCCGAGATCGTACCACTGTACTCCAGCCTGGGTGACAGAGCAAGACTCCATCTCAAAAAACAAAACAAAACAAAACAATTAAAAACATTGAACAGGGCCTGAGAGCAGAAGCCACATCCATGTCCTGAGCTGTGGCCAGAGAAGATGGTGTCTACCCCCTCAAGACCCAGGGATTCTATACTAGAGGGGAGGGGCACCCGTGCTTCAGAGGGAATGGGTACGACTTTGTCCTAAGTGCCGATTTACGGGGAATACCTCTTTACCTACCCTTACACAAGGAACGATCTTGGATCCCAGAACGGGGTTAATCAGAATTCCACTTGGTGGCTTAGCATCCAAAATAGAATGACTAGCCTCTCATCCGAGATGGAATTCCTTTAGCCTCCACCAGTGCATACACAGGAAGTAAACTCGGAAGACAGGCACACAAATGACAGCATGTCTTAGAAGTGGAAAGCACAGTGTAACACAGGATCTGAACCGAGGGGTACTCAGTGCTATCTGGGTGGCTTTGTGTTTGTTATATAGCCCAGGCTAATGGCTTTTTCCTTTTTAAAATTGAAAATGGGATCCTGCCAGGTGCGGGTGGCTCACGCCTGTAATCCCAGCGCTTTGCGAGGCGGAGGCAGGCAGATCATGAGATCAGGAGCTTGAGACCCTGGCCAACACGGTGAAACCCCGTGTCTACTAAAGATACTGGGCGTGGTGGCGCACACCTGTAGTCCCAGCTACTCGGGAGGCTGAGGCAGGAGAATCACTTGAACCCAGGAGGTGGAGGTTGCAGTGAGCTGAGATCTCACCGCTGCACTCCAGCCTGGCGACAGAGCGAGACTCCATCTTAAAAAATAAAAACAAAAATGGGATCCTGCCATATATGTTATAATGTCCTTTTAAAACTAACAACCTATGGACATCTTGCGAGTGGCTCATACAGATTTTATTGTTTTCATTGCTAACTGGCAGTTCATTGTTTGGTGTTTTGTTTTGTGCCTCTGCAGTTATATTGCTAAAGGATTTTTTTTTTTATTAAAGGTAAAATCATGACTCAGAGATGCAAAATAATTGTGTACTAAATATCTTAATTCATTATTGAGGCAATAATGAAGATGTTTAAACCAAGGACAATCCAAAGAACAGACACATTTATAGATGAATAGCAAAGTGAACGTGTAAATGGACACACAGCTGGCCTCTTCCACAGTTGGGGAGCGTAGTCAACCGAATCTCCACGGAACAGAATTCACGTACCTGTCTAGGGGCCGGGCTATTTTTGCATTGCAATCAGCTACAATGTTGTAAAATAGCCCAAAAGCCCGGAAGGCCTCAGAGACCCGATAGAATCAAAACCGGAAAGGAGGGCCCTCATGCCGGTTTCCATCAAAACACTTTCCCCTACAGTTTCCTCTTATCCAGGTGCTTTTGTTTTTGTGGGATAGCTGTCCCAAGTTAGGATTGCTGTGTTAAACGTTATGTTTATTTAAAATGGTAAGAGATACTGCCTGAGTAGCTTGCCAAAAAGTGTAGTTTAGGATGTTGTCTCATCGAATAATAATAGTTAATAATAAAGCCTAGAAAAATGCCCCATAATATTTCTTCAACGATTTGACTAAAAGTAAAGCAAAACAAAAAACCTATAATAAATCCAGAACCAATTTTGTGTATACCGAAAACCAGAGGATTGAGTTTCTTCTAGATCGACAACTATACCAGCACTATTTATTAAATAAACTAACATTCTCACATTGAATCGAATCGATCCCTTTATCAATTCATTAAATTTCCATAGGTGTCACAATCTCTTCCGGGCACTCTGTTTCGGAGCTGGTTCTCCCAGCAGCTTTTCAGGCTCACGCCGGCGGTGGCGCAGACCTAGGGTCTCCCACACTCGCCGTGCCCACACTCGCCGTGCCCACACTCGCCGTGCCCACACGCCCTGCCCACACTCGCCGTGCCCACACTCGCCCTGCCCACACTCGCCGTGCCCACACTCGCCCTGCCCACACTCGCCGTGCCCACACTCGCCCTGCCCACACTCGCCCTGCCCACACTCGCCCCTGAGCTGGCCTGGAAAGCGCAAAAGGTGGGAAGTCAAGTTCTCTGCGCCCTTCCCTTCTACATTCGCTAGTCCTCGCCCACCCCCTTTCCTGCGGCCCCGACCCTCTGACGCCCCTGCGGGAGGCGTGCGCCCTAGACAGCCCTTCTCGCCGCCCGCCCGCCCGCCCGCCAGAGTTCTGGCGCCTGCGGTGCCCTGGACTGAACAGGCTGCAGGCTTTGGGCCTGAACACCGCAGACTGGCGCCCCAGCAACCCAGCCTGGGCGACAGCGGAGTGCGCACCCGATGGACTCCCCTGTCTTCCCTTCTCGGTAGAGGAGATGCTCTTTTCTGTTGTTTTGAGACGGAATCTCGCTCTGTCCCCCAGGCTGGAGTGCAGGGGCGCGATCTGGGCTCACTGCAAGCTCCGCCTCCCGGGTTCACGCCATTCTCCTGCCTCAGCCTCCGGAGTAGCTGGGACTACAGGCGCCCGCCACCACGCTCGGCTAATTTGTTGTATTTTCAGTAGAAACTGAGTTTCACCGTGTTAGCCAGGATGGTCTCGATCTCCTGACCTCGTGATCCGCCCGCCTCGGCCTCCCAAAGTGTTGGGACTACAGGCGTGAGCCACCGCGCTCCGCCGAGGAGATACTCTAGAAGCTTAAAACTGGCAGAGTTGGAAGTTGCCCCGTTTACGATTAAAAAAATAAAACGAGTGTCTTTCCAGCAGCTTCACCCTCGCTCCATCCCATTCCTGCCAAGGGGAGAATGCAGCCCCGTTGAAGCTGAAGTCATGAATTCGACTTTGTGCTGGGAAATCGCAATCCCTGGTCTCTCAGGAAGGGCCCTTCCTTCCCAGCAGGATCCAACTTGGAGTATAGAAAAGGAAGGACTTGGAGCTCGAAGTGGGTGTGCGGGGCGGGAGCTCTGAGTGGCTCGGCCGGGCGCAGAGCTCCAGGGGATGCAGCGATCTGGGCGTCCCTCACCACTGAAGACCCCTGGGCCGGGGCGCCGAGACCAGGCGGGGAGGCGCGGTCCCCGGGCGCGCCCCTGCGAGCGGAAACCCTCTAATCTTGCTCGGGAGCCGCAGCGGTCGCGTTGCCAGACGCAAGTTTAACGAGGACAAAGCCGAGCCTTTAAAAGGGCAGATTCTGTGCGAGATCTCGCCTGCCTGGAACGTTCCGTCGAGGGTCTGCTGGAACCCGCGGGGCCCCTCCTGCACCCCCGGGGACTCCGGGCCGACTTTACCCCCTCACCTTCACGGAGCCGAGGGCAGGGCCTTGCTGTGCGCTCCAGGCACTTCTGGATGGCCGGACTCTGGCCCATCTCCGCGCCGTCGGCCCAGCGAAAATTGCACCTGGCGGCCCCACGGGATGCAAAGGGACCTGCTCCGTCGTGGGACGAGCTCTCTTGGGTCGGAACCAACCCGGCTCAACCCGGCCGGCGCCTCCTGGGTCCCCGTGGAGCTGCTTCCCCAACGCGCCACGCCTGACGTCCGGGTCTCCACAAGAGTCCTTCCCAGTCCAGCTTTGGTTTTTCTTCCAGAAACGGGCGCCTGGCTCCCAAGATCGGAGAGGACAAGTGAAAAGCCCGGCCCACTGCCTGTCCTGCGTCTCTACCCAGCTCGGCTCCCTCTGGTACCAGGAGAGGGCTCTCCCAGCTGGAGAGTGGACGCCACTTGCCAGTCCTGGAGCGGTCTACACCCCCCACCTCCGCAAATGGTGCCCCCACTTGGCTTCCTGGGGCCTAAGGCTCGGCCTGCCCTTGGCAAGATGGAATCCGGGAATAGCAGGATGGGTGCCATTCGGTCAGGGAATCCCAGTACTGGGACCCTGGGCTAGAAGTGGGAGAAGGGGCTGCGACTCCGGGTGGCACATGCCCTGGACCCTGAGAACTACCCACTATGCTCCCGGAACTACTCGCCCCGCTCCTCCAGAGAGGCGCTACTGCAGGAGGCCCACGGCTCTCCAAGACTGGCCTCACAGCAGGGGCTCTGCCTGCTCTAAGACTGTGCTGTGTGGGCATTACAATGGCTTTTTCCAGGTTTTATTGAAATTATCTGAACCTCTCCCCCGAAATTGGAGCACGCACACTCTCTCCTATTAGCTGGAAGAAGAAGCTGAACTAAAGAGGCTCTCTAAGACTCCTCTTTTGAATGTGGGCAAAATTAGCCTGGAAGTCTTCCAAGTTCCCACCCCACCAAGATCACCCCTCCCTCCAGCCTGCCCCTCAATTCACCCCCTCACAACCAGCATCTGGATGCCCAGGGAGCGCCTTACTGCCGTAATGGCACCCTACAAGCAGCCCAAGGTGGAGGAGGGGTAGGAGTCAGTTGCACAGAGTGGCCATTGCCCAGGTATGTGGATGTCGGGGAGGTTGGGAAGAGAATGACTGTGTGTTTGGGGGGGTCATCAGTATCTGTACATGGCTAGCAAGCTATATGGCTGAAGGCTTTGGGGCTTAGGGACCAATCAAATTTGGTTGCAGGACTCCTGAGTCACCTGAGCCCTGGCGTCCTTGTTCCTCTGAATGGGACATAGGTAGTCACTGTATTTTGTCTAGTAGACAGGTTACCTATGGGAGAATCCAGCATTTTCTACAGTGTGATGGGCCCATGTTGCCCCAGGGAAAGGAGGACACAAGGCACGCCAAGAACCAGGGCCTGAGGCCTAAGTGCTGGCAAGGTGAAAGGGGTTGGGGTGCTGACAGCCAGCTCCTGACCACACCGGCTCTCCAGTTGCAGGGAAGGGATAGGTGCCCCAGGGTGAAGGAAGTCAGGTCACCTGGCCTATCTCCAGAAGACAAAACTGACCCTGGGTGAAACCACCTACCTGAGCAGCAGTGGACGAACTGTTCAGACCCCAAGACCACCTTCCCTCCACTGGTATAACCTCTTCTGCTTTTCTGTCGGACTCCTCAGATAGCACAACTGGAATTCTGATTCTTACAGAATCCTGCAAATATTTATCAGGCACCTACCGAGTGCCCAGCAGGGAGCCAGAAGCTGGAGATTTGTCTTGGACCCAAGAAGTTCCTGCTGGACACTGGGACATACCAGGACAGGATCATGTGAGCCCAGGCCAGGTTTCTAGAGGGGATCCTCTCCCTCTCTCCCATGTCGGAGACTTAGCTCCACTCTGCGGAGTTCCTCTTCTGAGCACACCTGCAGGCGCTGCGTTTTGTACACTGGAGGGGGTTGGAGGGGAAAGGAATGGGAGGGTCAGAGCAGCCCTGGCCTGGGGCCCCTGCGGAAGCCTTTGGTCCTGAAAGCCGTGACTGGACACAGGACCTCCTTCTACACACTGATGGGCAGGGGACTTCCCTTGTGTGCTGACTTTCCACAGCCACCACTATGCAGATCCAACTGTTTCCTGCTTCCTGAGACATTGTCCCAGCTAAGCTAAGTGTCCCCAGCAGCCTTGCCGTCCCAGATCCGGGTGGTGGGCAGCAGCAGTGAACCCAAAGGGGAACCCTCTTGGCCGCAGCACCTCCGTGTCGCCAGGGCGGGGCCCTGGGTGCTGGCAGCTGTCCCGCCTCTGCAAAACCTCAGGTCTGTGGCGCCTCCTGACTGCTGCTTCCTTGGAGGCCATGCAAAATGTCCCAGGCACTCCTTCCTGCCCTCTGGGGACCACGTTGGAGGTGAGGGGTCAGATCCCAGGGGAGGTCCCGTGCCCTGGGGGTGGGAGGGAGAGTGGTGTTGAAGGCAGGAGAGACGGTGTGGTGGGCAGAAGACTAGACTGCTGAGCCCTGGTGTGGCAGCAGCTGTGCGTCTCCCTGGATGCCTGAACCCCTTGCCCATTTGAGACGGGCTGTGAGGGTCAGGTGGTTCAGGGAGGGAAGGATGGCAGGGCCGCTGCTCCTACCCCCACCCCCCCAACCTCTCTGGGCTCTGAAGCAACGTATCAAACTTCCCATTCCCCCGTCAGAGCCATCTATCCACCATCCATCCATCCATTCATTCGGCCATCCATCCACCATCCACGTGTCCACCATCCATCCTTTTATCCGTCCATTCAGCAAATATCCATCGAGCCCCTGCCCTGTGCCAATGTTGTTCTAGGCACAAGGGATACTTCAGCAAGCCATTCATTCTATTTGGGGGATAAACAATAACTAAACAAATAAATAAGAAGATAACAGTAGTGCCGTGCTGCAGTGAATAATGGATCCACATTGCCCCAGGACAGCACTGCCCACACCGTGATGTACAAAAAGCGATGCACAAGAGGGCCAGAGCCTGGCCCCACCTAGCAAGGGGTCCACCGAGCCCCTCCCTCATTATCCGCGGCTGTCCCCATGACACCCCCGCTACCCGCTGCACAGGCCAAGACCCGGGAGTTCCTATACTCCATTCCTCCTCACACACCTGCCGTGACCTCAGCGAGTTGTGGGCAGGTGAGGTCACTTCACGCACCCGGTCTTCCCGCTTCTCTCCAGCCTTCCCACCATGCCCAGCCCATGCCGTCATCATGCCCACTCCCACCACAGCAAAGCCCACTAACATCCATCCGCTTCAACTTGTGCTTGCCACGGCAGCTGCCCATGTTTCTCAAGTGTGACCAGGTTGCACTGCTGTTGGGATTAAAACCTGCAGCCAAAAGAGAATCTGAAGTGGCCACCAGAGTCCATGAGGCCTGGTCCGACTGGGCGGCTAGCCACTCTGCCCCACTTCTCTCCACCCCTTGTTCTCCTCTCTAAGCCCCACCGCAGCCCTGCCTTTCACCCTCAGGGCTCTGCACTTGCATCCACCTGTGCTGTGAACACGCTCTGCCCAGTCCCGGCACGGCTGGCTCCCTACTCGTCAGAGACTCTGGCCTCCTCCTCTAAGACAGCCCGCCCCATCTCTCTCCCCCGCTCAGCCAGGAGAGCCACCCCCTTCCCAGTCTGGCTTCCACCAGCCTCTGAGTCTTGGCAAACCAGAAACTCCCCGCTGGCTGGGGAAACTGACTGTCTGATTGGCTGGGGGCGGACAGAGCCTGGCTAACCCTGACTAACAGTTGGAGGGCTACGTGAGAAAAAATGGCTCCAGTAAGTGCTTGGAAGCCTGTAGTTTGAGGCAGCAGCAAGCTGGGGACAGGCCAAGGCTGAGGGTGGGACAATGGGCATCAGGCCTCAAAGAACCTGGATCCTGTGCGATCTCGCTTTTCCTCGCCGCCATCTGGAGCCGGGGAGAAATGCGCTCCCACGCGCTCTGTGTGTCACACACACACACACACACACACACACACACAGGGAGAAATGCGCTCCCACGTGCTCTGTGTGTCACACACACAAACACACACACACACACACACCCAGGGAGAAATGCGCTCCCACGTGCTCTGTGTCTCTTTCACACACACACACACACACACACACACACCCCCAGGGAGAAATGCGCTCCCAAGTGCTCTGTGTGTCTCTCTCACACACACACACACACACACACACACACACACAGGGAGAAATGCGCTCCCACGTGCTCTGTGTCTCACACACACACACACACACACACACACACACACACACCCCGGGAGAAATGGGCTCCCACGTGCTCTGTGTCTCTTTCACACACACACACACACACACACACACACACACACACACCCAGGGAGAAATGGGCTCCCACGTGCTCTGTGTCTCTCTCACACACACACACACACACCCAGGGAGAAATGGGCTCCCACGTGCTCTGTGTCTCTCACACACACACACACACACACACACACCCAGGGAGAAATGGGCTCCCACGTGCTCTGTCTCTTTCTCACACACACACACACACACACACACACACACACGGAGAAATGGGCTCCCACGTGCTCTGTGTCTCTTTCACACACACACACACACACACACAGGGAGAAATGGGCTCCCACGTGCTCTGTGTCTTTCACACACACACACACACCCAGGGAGAAATGCGCTCCCACGTGCTCTGTGTCTCTTTCACACACACACACACACACACACACACACACACACCCAGGGAGAAATGGGCTCCCACGTGCTCTGTGTCTCTGTGTTTCACACACACACACACACACACCCAGGGAGAAATGAGCTCCCACGTGCTCTGTGTCTCTGTCTTTCACACACACACACACACACACCCAGGGAGAAATGAGCTCCCACGTGTTCTGTGTCTCTGTCTTTCACACACACACACACACACACACACACACACAGGGAGAAATGAGCTCCCACGTGCTCTGTGTCTCTGTCTTCACACACACACACACACACACACACACCCAGGGAGAAATGGGCTCCCACGTGCTCTGTGTCTCTGTCTTTCACACACACACACACACACACACACACACCCAGGGAGAAATGGGCTCCCACGTGCTCTGTGTCTCTTTCACACACACACACACACACACACACCCAGGGAGAAATGGGCTCCCACGTGCTCTGTGTCTCTTTCACACAAACACACACACACACACACACACACACACCCAGGGAGAAATGGGCTCCCACGTGCTCTGTGTCTCTGTCTTTCACACACACACACACACACACACACACACCCAGGGAGAAATGAGCTCCCACGTGCTCTGTGTCTCTGTCTTTCACACACACACACACACACACACCCAGGGAGAAATGAGCTCCCACGTGCTCTGTGTCTCTGTCTTTCACACACACACACACACACACACACACACACCCAGGGAGAAATGAGCTCCCACGTGCTCTGTGTCTGTGTCTACACACACACACACACACACACACACACACACACACACCCAGGGAGAAATGGGCTCCCACGTGCTCTGTGTCTCTGTCTTTCACACACACACACACACACACACACACCCAGGGAGAAATGGGCTCCCACGTGCTCTGTGTCTCTGTCTTTCACACACACACACACACACACACACACACACACACCCAGGGAGAAATGGCTCCCACGTGCTCTGTGTCTCACACACACACACACACACACCCAGGGAGAAATGCGCTCCCACGTGCTCTGTGTCTCTTTCACACACACACACACACACACACACACCCAGGGAGAAATGGGCTCCCACGTGCTCTGTGTCTCTGTCTTCACACACACACACACACACACACCCAGGGAGAAATGAGCTCCCACGTGCTGTCTCTTTCACACACACACACACACCCAGGGAGAAATGAGCTCCCACGTGCTCTGTGTCTCTTTCACACACACACACACACACACACACACCCAGGGAGAAATGAGCTCCCACGTGCTCTGTGTCTCACACACACACACACACACACCCAGGGAGAAATGGGCTCCCACGTGCTCTCTTTCACACACACACACACACACACACACACACGGCTGCAGGTGAGTTGTTTCTAGAACCAGAGCTTATATGAAGAGAAAAATAGAAGGGACAGAACAGTGTGTTCCCAGATCACACCTGCAGCTCCTACAGGCTGGGGTGGGTGTCTGGGGCCCGGCTCTGCTGGCTCAGTCACTTTGCTTCTCCTCAAGTTCCCTCTGTGGAACTGGGCGCCGTTTCCACCAAACCGTCTGCTGTCCAGTCCCACAGGGGCTGCTGTCAGTCACCCTACGGCCTCTCTGCCTAGGCTTTGAAACTGATTCATTGTTCTTTTGCTGTATTTTTCTTTGTAGGTTTCAGAATTCTCTGTTTATTTATGATAATTTGGGAAGGATCCTGGGAGAGTGAAAATAAATGAAGTGCGCAATCTGCCAAGTTTCACTGGAGGCTCCACTGATCCTTCCACCATGCTCAAATGCCTGCAGGAAATCTGGGGAATCATCTTTCCTACCCTAAGACCCTGGGACTTAGCACTGGCCCTGAGGCCCCTGACAGGCATAAACTAATCAGCAAATGTGCAGGAAAAATGCGGAGCTGCAAGATCAAAGTCAGATTCCCACTCTCCCTAAAGGCCTGGATTCCCCTGGAAACCCACATCCTCACTGCCTGGAAGGAGCGATGAGGACCCAGGGGAGTGGCTCTGGGCATCAACAGGTCCAGGCAGGAGGCGGTTCCCCATGTCCCATCTTTCCAGCACCGAAGGGAGCCTCTCAGGGGAGTCTTATCACCCCCCGCCCCACCATCACAGAGCAGCCTGCTCCTGGCCTGTATCCAAACACCCCTGGGGGCGGCCGCCCTGGGCGTGCTCCCCTTTCCCTGATGGCCGCTAGAACTCCGTGAGGAGAGGCTCGCCAGGGTCACCCAGACAGTCCCTGATCCCACATTGTCCCGACACATGAGGCTTCACCCCGGAGGAAATAGGAAAAGGGAGTGAATCCCATGGGCTCCCCTCACAAAAGGAAAGCCACGTGCTGTCACTTGGGCGCAAGATGGGCTATGAGGCTGGAGAAAGTCTCCCAGGGACGCCTCCTGGAGTCTTTTTTTTTTCTTTGCTACTGTGAATAGTGCTGCAATAAACATACCTGTGCCTGTGTCTTTATAACAACAATTTATTTTCCTTTGGGTATATACCCAGTAATGGGATTGCAGGGTGGAATGGTATTTCTGTATTTATATCTTTGAGAAATCACCACACTGTCTTCCACAATGGTTGAACTCATTTACACTCCTGCCAACGGTGTATAAGCATTCCTTTTTCTCCAAAACCTCGCCACCATCTGTTATTTTTTTATTTTTTAATAATAGCCATTCTGACTGATACGATATGGTATCTCATTGTGGTTTTGATTTGCATTTCTTTAATGATCAGTAATATCGAGCTTTTCTTTTCTTTTCTTTTTTTAAGACAGAGTCTCGCTCTGTTTCACCCAGGCTGGAGCGCAGTGGTGCCATCTTGGCTCACTGCAACCCCCGCCTCCCGGTTCAAGCAGTTCTCCTGCCTCACCCTCCCGAGTAGCTGGGATTACAGACATGCATCAACACACTTAGCTAATTTTTGTATTTTTAGTAGAGACGGGTTGGGGGGGCGGGTTTCACCATGTTCGCCAGGCTGGTCTTGAACTGCCGACCTCAGGTGATACACCTGCCTTGGCCTCCCAAAGTGCTGGGATTACAGGCGTGAGCCACCGCGCCTAGCCAAGCTTTTTTTCATATGCTGGTTGGCCTCAAGTTTGTCTTCTTTTGAAAAGTGTTTGCTCATGCCCTTTGCTCACTTTGGAATATTGTTGTTTTATGGCCGGGTGCGGTAGCTCAGGCCTGTAATCCCAGCACTTTGGGAGGCTGAGGCCAGATCACCTGAGGTCAGAAGTTCGAGACCATCCTGGCCAACATGGCAAAACCTTATTTCTACTAAAAAAATACAAAAAATTAATGGCCTGGTGTGGTGGTGGATTACAGGTGGGTGCCTGTAATCCCAGCTACTCAGGAGGCTGAGACAGGAGAATTGCTTGACCCCAGGAGGCAGAGGTTGCAGTGAGCCGAGATTGTGTGCCATAGCACTTCAGCCTGGGCAACAGAGCGATACTCTGTCTCAAAAATAAAAAATAAATAAAAAATAAAATAAAGTTGCTTGGTTTTTTTCTTGGAAATTTGCTTAAGTTTTTTTTTTTTTTTGAGATGGAGTCTTTCTCAGTCGCCCAGGCTGGAGTGCAGTGGTGCGATCTCAGCTCACTGCAAGCTCTGCCTGCCGGGTTCATGCCATTCTCCTGCCTCAGCCCCCCAAGTAGTTGGGACTACAGGCGCCCGCCACCATGCCCAGCTAATTTGTTTTTGTTTTTGTTTTTGTTTTTTTTCAGTAGAGACGGGGTTTCACCATGTTAGCCAGGATGGTCTCCATCACCTGACCTCGTGATCCACCTGCCTCGGCCTCCCAAAGTACTGGGATTACAAGTGTGAGCCACTGCACCCAGCCTTAAGTTTCTTATAGATGCTGGATAGTAGACCTTTGTCACGTGTATAGTTTGCAAATATTTTCTCCTCTTCTGTAGGCTGTTTACTCTTGTTGATAGTTTCTTTTGCCATGCACAAGCTTTTTGGTTTAATTAGATCCCATTTGTCAATTTTTGCTTTTGTTGCAATTGTTTTTGGCGTCTTCATCACGATATCTTTGCCAGTTCCTATGTTCAAAATGGTATTACCTAGGTTGCCTTCCAGAGTTTTTATAGTTTTGGGTTTTCATTTAATTATTTAATCCACCCTGAGTTGATTTTGTATATGGTGTAAGAAAGAGATCCAGTTTCAATCTTCTACATATGGCTAGCCCGTTATCTCAGCACCATTTATTGAATAGGAAGTCCTTTCTCCATTGCTTGTTTTTGTCAGCTTTGTTGAAGATCAGATGATCATAGGTATGTGGCCTTATTTCTAGATCCTCTATTCTGTTTCATTGGCCTATGTGTCTTTTTTTATACCAGTACCATGCTGTTTTGGTTACTATAGCCCTGTAGTGTAGTTTGAAGTTGGGTAGTGTGATGTTTCCAACTTTGTTCTTTTTGCTTAGAATTGTCTTGGCCATTTGGGATCCTTTTTGGTTCTATATAAACTTTGAAATAGTTTTTTATATTTCTGTGAAGAATATCATTAGTGGTTTGATAGGAATAGCATTGAATCTATAAATTGCTTTGGGCAATTTTTCTATCTATGAGTATGAAATGTTTTCCCATTTGTTTGTATCATCTCTAATTTCTTTGAGCAGTGTTGTATAATTCTCCTTGTAGAGATCTTTCACTTTCCTGGTTAGCTGTATTTCTAGGAGTGTGTGTGTGTGGTGATTGTGAATGGAATTGAGTTTTGATTTGGTTCCTGGTTTGGCTGTTGCTGGTGTATAAGAATGCTAGTGATTTTTTTTGTATGTTGATTTTGTATCCTGAAACTTTGCTGAAGTTGTTTATCAGCTTAAGAAGCTTTGGGGCCGAGAATATGGGGTTTTCCAGACGTAGAATCATGTTGTCTGCATCCTAATACCAAAACCTCGCAGAGACACAACA
Organism: Homo sapiens; assembly: GCF_000001405.40. Taxonomy (NCBI): domain Eukaryota; kingdom Metazoa; phylum Chordata; class Mammalia; order Primates; family Hominidae; genus Homo; species Homo sapiens. The sequence continues at coordinate 109,799 of NT_187652.1, read as the reverse complement.
AAAAAGAAAACTTCAGGCCAATATCCTTGGTTAACATTGATGTAAAAATCCTCAACAAAATATTAGCACACCAAATCCAGCAGCATATCAAAAAGCCTGTCCACCATGATGAAGTAGGCTTCATCCTCAGGATGCAAGGCTGGTTCAACATATGCAAATCAATAAATGTGATTCATTGCATAAACAGAACTAAAGACAAAAACCACATGATCATATCAATAGATGCAGAAAAGGCTTTTGATAAAATTCAACATCCCTTCATATTAAAAACTCAATAAACTAGGTATTGCAGGAACATACCTCAAAATAACAAGAGCCATGGGCTGGGCACGGTGGCTCATGCCTGTAATCCCAGCACTCTGGGAGGCCGAAGCGGGCAGATCACCTGAGGTCAGGAGTTCGAGACCAGCCTGGCGAACATGGTAAAACCCCATTTCTACTAAAAATACAAAAAAAATTAGCCAGGATTGGTGGCGCATGCCTGTAATCACAGCTACTAGGTAGGCTGAGGCAGGAGAATCACTTGCACCCATTAGGCGGAGGTTGCAGTAAGCCAAGATCGTGCCATTGCACTCTAGCTTGGGCAAGAAGAGTGGAACTCCATCTCAAAAAATAAATAAATAAATAACAAGAGCCATCTGTCACAAACCCACAGCCAACATCGTACTGAATGGACAAAAGGTGGAAGCATTCCCCTTGAAAACCAGCACAAGATAAGGATCACCTCTCTCACCACTCCTTTTCAACATCAGAAATCCTGGCCACAACAACCAGACAAGAGAAATGAATAAAGGGCATTCAAACAGGAAAAGAGGAGATCAGACACTTTTATAGGTAATGTGTTACATGCTTCGAATTTTCAGGTATAAGGTCTCACATTGCGGCACTACCCACAATAGCAAAGACTTGGAACCAACCCAAATGTCCAACAATGATAGACTGAATTAAGAAAATGTGGCATATATACACCATGGAATACTATGCAGCCATAAAAAAGGATGAGTTCATGTCCTTTGTAGGGACATGGATGAAGCTGGAAACCATCATTCTCAGCAAACTATCACAAGGACAAAACACCAAACACTGCATGTTCTCACTCATAGGTGGGAATTGAACAATGAGAACACTTGGACACAGTAAGGGGAACATCACACACCGGGGCCTGTTGTGGGGTGGGGGGAGGGGGGAGGGATAGCCTTAGGATATGCCTAATGTAAATGACGAGTTAATGGGTGCAGCACACCAACATGGCACATGTATACATATGTAACAAACCTGCACGTTGTGCACATGTACCCTAGAATTTAAAGTATAATAAAAATATATATATAAAATAAAATAAAAATAAATTTGACTGAACAATTGTTTATTCATAAAATATTTTGGAAAGGAACACAAAACATGGTAATAGTGGTTTTCTCTCGATTGGAGATAATTTTTTTTTTTTATAACAGCGTCATTTATCCTGTTTTCTAAATAAGACTCCAACACCAGAAAAAAAAAAAAGAGGAAAAAAACAGATTATAAGTTAAAACAAAAATCTATCTGTATAAGTCTTTACTTGTACAAGTCTGCACAAGTCAGTAAGTTCTGGTCTCTGTAGAGCCAGAACTTCAGAGAAGGTGATTTAATTGTCATCACAGCCCCTCAACTTGCTTTGGGGTTTGTACATCAAGAGACAACTTGAAGGGAATCACTTGAGACCAAAAGAATTACTTACAAAGAAAGATTTCCTGGAATGTGTAAGTTCTACTGATTGCCCATGGAGACGCTAACAGTTGCTCTAACCCCAAATTTTTTAAACATCTCAAGATGGCAACATGAGTATGGAAAACCCCAACACTCATCACCCAATGAATCATTTCTCCAATCATGGGAATGAGGGAAGGACGTAGGAAAGGCTGTTTCATCAGGACTCATTAGGGAGGGTGTCAGTGCAGAGGCAGCCACGGCAGAGCTTTCCTTGTCTTCAACCTGGGCCAAATGAAGCTCTGAGTGCTGAGGGCCTGACAACAAAGTTCTCCGCAGGTTTGGAATGGCCAATGTGCAATGATGGCATCAGCCACAAGAGTGAAACTTGAATCGTGCATGCGGGTCTATAGATCACTGATTACTGCACTATCAATCTCACCTCCCACCCACAAGAGATTACCCAGATAATCAGCCTGTGGCACATACTACTACTACCTACTTGGGAACAAGGGAGAGGAGTGAATTACAAATGAAAACTTCTGAAATGACCACTGCTTATTCCAGCTTAAGCTAGAATAAATGTTTGAATAAATCACCGCATTAAATAACATTTAAAATATGGTACCTTCAGCACATTATAAATATGAAATGTCCCCTCCCCCAACCCCATTTACTTCAGTGCACAGAGTCTCCCAGGCAAGCTTTTCCATCGCTCAGCCAGTGGAATGGATGGCATGCACCAGATGTTACACAAAGCATTTATTTCTCCAAGAAGGCTGAGAGCCAGGAGAATTCATCTCCTTCTGCTAGGACCTCTGCCCCAAGCTTCTGAGGAAATAGTGAATTGGACTCGACAGGGAAAGTAGCTACGTGATCCACTAATGAAAATGCACTGGACAGTGTATGCCTTCCTGCTCTTCTCCATGGCAGAGAGACTTAAAGATAATTAATAAAAATAGCTGTCCCTTCAAACTCAGAGGAGGTTTTCAAAAACAAGTATAAGCAAAAAATAAAGAAATAAAAGGAAAGTAAATCAAACCCCCCAATACTCCTGAAAGTAAAACAGTCTCATGGTGACTGATGTCTGGAAGAAGTTGAGGCAGAAAAGACTGAGGAAGTTGGAAGGGGCTGGCCACAAAAGTGCCTTAAAGAATCCACTACAATGCTCTCCATTTCTAAGGCTGAGTAGCTACTCCCAGTAAGTTAACATTTTTCTGTTAAGAAGAAAACAAAACAAAACAAAAATAAAACCCACTCCAGAAAAAGGGTCAAGAGAAGAGCACTGTAGAAAGTCAAGCAGCTGAGCGCCGGTGGATGACGAAGAGCCCGCGCTGAAGCTGGCCCAGGTAGATCCTCATCTTGGTGCTGTCACTTGTCTTCCTCACCCAGATCTCATTGGCTCCTACAGAACTGATCACGCAGCTCAGTTTCTGGTTGTCCTTTGACTCCAGATAGATGGCCTGGCTCTTGTGGTACCATCTTTTGTCATAGTGCAGTTTGCCATCTTCTATCCGAGCTTCAAACCTCTGGGCTGGAGATTCCGCGGGTGTCGCAGGCAAGTGCTCAGGAGAGGATGGAGATGCTGGTCTCTTGGGTGACTTAAGCTTATTTAATGTTCTCAGATCCTCCATGATCTGTTCATCTGTTAACAAATAGTTTAGCTGGGCTGGAGCAGGTTTCCTCCTCTTGTCTGGGATGGGGACGGGATCATTTTGGTCGCCTCCGCAACTTTCTGGTCATGATAGGTCTCACCTGCATAGAATCTCCATTCAGTTCCATTGTCAGCATTTCGTTTTCAATCATTTTCTTCTCTTCTGCTAGCTCAGCAATCAGGTTCTCTTTCAGCTCAACCTTCTTGTCTTCAAATTCTTTCACTGCTGCCTTCTTTTCTTTCATGTAATTTCGTCCCACTTGTTCAGTTTCCAGCTGGAGGAAGAGTTCAGCATTCCGTATCCTCTCTTTGTACTGCTGACCTAGTTTTTTCATTCTCTTCTGATATTCCTGTAATGTACCTTCTTGTAGTTGTTGCAACTGCCTCTTGAGAGAAGCCAGTTTGTGCTGATACATCTGTTCCTTCACTTCCCCATAGTCTTCTTCATCATGCTTTGCCAGGTCAGTTTCACTAGCATCCTCAGTGTCTTCGTCCGACTCGCGGCCCGGCAGCTGCGCTCGTCGTCCTTGGCGCTCTCCAGCTCTTCGTCCTCCCCGGGGACGCTCCAGCCCGGGCGGGGCCGGGGCCAGCAGCCCCGCGGCGCTCATGTCGCCTCTGACCGCAGCTGAGCGTGGCCCACGGACACCGCGGCCACCCACGCTCGGTACTCGCCGTCTGCCTGGCGGTGTCCGAGGGGGCCCCCAACTCGAGGAGCGGCAGCCACGGCGACCCCTTCCCGTCTCCGCCGAGCTCCGCCCCCCGCCAACTTTTTTGTTTCTTTTTTCAAGATGGAGTTTCACTCTGTCACCCAGGCTGGAGAGCGGCGGCGCAATCTCAGCCCACTGCAACCTCTGCCTCCCGGGGTTAAGCACTTCTCCTGCCTCAGCCTCCTGAATAACTGCGATTACGGGCATCCACCACCACACCCGGCTAATTTTTGTATTTTCCGTAGAGACGGGGTTTCACCATGTTGGCCAGGCTGGTCTCAAACGCCTGACCTCAGGTTGATTCACCCACCTCAGCCTCCCAACGTGCTGGGATTACAGGCATGAGTCACCACTCCTGGCCAAACTTTTCTTTTTTAAAACTAAATGTTACTGTGTATATTTGAGGTGACAGCATGATGTCAAAGGTACACGTCAGTAGTAAAATGGTTACTATAGTCAGCAAGTTCACATACCTACCATCTCACATAGGTACTTTTTTGTGTGTCAAGGGCAGCGAAAATCTACTTACTCAACAAAAATCCCAAGACAGTGTCCTCATGTTATACATTAGGTCTCTGGCCTTGTTCATCCGACGTCTGCTACTTTGCGTGTTTTGGCCTTCATCTCCCCACTTCCTGCTGATTGTTTTTGTCGTCTTTGGAGAAATGTCTGTTCAGGTCTCTTGTTAGCTTTTTAACAGGGTTATTTGTCTGCTTAAGTTGTAAGGGTTCTTCATTGATTTTGGATATTAGCCCTTGATCAGTTAGTGACTTGCAAATATTTTTCCCAGTTTGTAGGTTGCCTTTTTTTGATTGTTTCCTTTGCTGCGCAGAAGGGTTTTAGTTTGATGCGGTCCTCCTTGTTGACTTTTGCATGCAGCCTGGCTTTTGGTGGATTATCTGAAAAATCATTGCTAAGGCCAGCGTCGAGGGGGCTGTCCCCTACATTCTCTTCTAGGAGTTTCATGGTTTCATATCTTATTTATGTCTTTTATCTAGTTTGAGTTGATTTTCTATAGGGTGTAAGATAAGGGCCCAATTTCATGGTTTGGCCTGTGAAAATCCAGTTTTACAGCATCATTTATTGAAGAAACTGTCTTTTTTCCACTGTGTCCTCTTGGTTGCTCTTGTTGAAAGTTAGTTGACAGTGTATGTTTTGATTTATTTCTAGGCTTCTTATTCTGTTCCATTGGTCTATGTTTTTGTTTTGATGCCAATACCATATATTGTTCTTATTACTATAGCTTTGTATGTAATTTTAAATCACGTAGTGTTATGCCTCCAGCACTAATTTTTTTCCTCTGTATTGTGTTAGCTTGGGGTTTTTTGTGGTTCCATGTCAATTGCAGGATTGTATTTTTCTATGTCTGTGAAAAATGCGATTAGAATTTTGATAGGGATTGTCTTAAAAACTGTATATTTGCTTTGGATAGTATGCCATTTTAACAATTTTAATTCTTCCAATTCAGAAATGTGGGATGTTTTTACATTGTTTGTGTATTCTTAAATTTCTCTCATCGGTGTTTTATAGTTTTCAGTGTACTAGTCTTTCACCTTCTTGTCTAAATTTATTCCTAAGTATTTTATTTTGATTGGTGCTACTGTAAATGGGATTGTTTTCTTGATTTGTTTTTCAGCTAGATTGTTATTTGTGTATAGAAACGCTCCTGATTTTTGTATGTTGAGTTTGTATGCTGCAACTTTACTGAATTCATTTAGTTTTAACATTTTCTTATGGGAAATCTGAGGTTTTTTCATATGGATCATGTCATCTGCAAATAGAGATAATTTGTTTCTTTTTTTAGTTGCCTTTTTTTAAATTTGTCCAATTGCTCTTGCTAGTACTTCCAGTACTATGTTGAATAAAAGTGACAAGGCTAGGCATCCCTGTCTTGAACTCAATCTTAGTGGAAAGACTTTCAATTGTTCCCCATTGATTATGATGTTAGCTGTGGGTTTTTTAGAGGCGGCCTTTATTATTTAGAGGAGCTTTCTTTTCCATCCGTCTCAGCTCAGCCTGGGGACTTCCCATCAAGTGAGGCACTTGTTCAGCTCTTGCATTAGGGACTGTGATTTCTCTGGCTGACCAAGGCATTGATTCTCTGGAAAGCAGGGCACAAATCAGCTCAGGCCCCAACGGCTAGGGTGCCACAGCAACTGGGAGGGGCAGGACACAGCAGCATGGCCCCACAGGGTGGGGTGTATGCTACGGTGTGGATGTGGTTTGTCCCCACCAAAACACATGTTGAAATTTGATTCCCGATGTGGTGGTGGTGGGAGGTGGGGGCTAGTGGGAGGTATTTGGGTGATGGGCAGACCCTTCATGAATAGATGAACGCTGTCTCGTGGGACTGGATGAGTTACCAGGCGTGGGGTGTTATGGAAGTGAGTTTGGCTTCCTGGACCCTCTTGCTTCCTCTCTTGCCATGTGCTCTCCTTGCCTGTGCTGGTTTCCCCTTCCACGTTCTGCCAGGAGTTGGAGCAGCACAAGCCCCTCACCGTGTGCACTGCCCAATCTCAGACTTTCCAGTCACCAGAATATTGAGCCAAAAAAGCCTCTTTTTTAAAAATAAACTACCCAGTCTTGGCCTGGTGCGGTGGCTCACGCCTCTAATCGCAGCATTTTGGGAGGCCGAGGCGGGCGGATCACAAGGTCAGGAGATTGAGACCATCCTGGCCAACACAGTGAAACCCTGTCTCCGCTAAAAATACACAAAATTAGCTGGGCGTGGTGGCGGGCGCCTGTAGTCCCAGCTACTCGGGAGGCTGAGGCAGGAGAATGGCGTGAACCCAGGAGGCATAGCTTGCAGTGAGCCAAGATTGCACCACTGCACTCCAGCCTGGGTGAGAGAGCGAGACTCTGTCTCAAAAAAAAAATAAAATTAATAATAATAATAAAATTACCCAGTCTTAGATATTCTGTTATAGCTGCACTGAACCTTAAGTACATTGAATTTTATTTGGGTCTCCTTAGTTTTACTTAGTTAATTTCATGGTTTTAAAGTCTTGTACATTTTTGCAGTCTTTAATAAGACAAAACGCTGAGATGTTGGACATTTGAATGCCAAAGGTGATATGAGACATTTAGCATTTCATATTTTGGGAATAGTACCTTATGATTGAAAACTGGGGCCAGGTGTGGTGGCTTATGCCTGTAATCCCAGCACTTTGGGAGGCCGAGGCAGGCAGATCACCTGAGATCTGGAGCTGGAGACCAGCCTGGCCAACGTGGCAAAACCCCGTCTCTGCTAAAAATACAAAAATTACCTGGGCATCACGTTGCATGCCTGTAATCCCAGCTACTTGGGAGGTTGAGGAAGGAGAATTGCTTGAACCTGGGATGCAAAGGTTGCAGTGAGGCGAGATTAGGCTCCGGCCTGGGTAACAGAGCCAGACTCCATCTTAAAAAAAAAAAAAAAAAAGCGGGGGGAGAGAGAGAGAGAGAGATGAAAGAAGGAAGGGAGGGAGGAAGGAAAAAATTGGGTTTACAAGTATGAGCTACTATGCCTGGCCAAGTGCCCAGAGGCTGTGTGCTGTGGGGAGTGCGGTGCCCCGACTGAGGCAGGCACAGGGTCCCAGCTCCTGTTGTCAGATGTGACAGACTCTCGGAGAATGGGAAAGCAATGCCACTTTTCCCACAAATCACTTTTGCTTTGGAAAATATTTTTCACAAAAAGATGCTATTTATGTTGCTCTGTAATGGTCTTGTTTCTGTTATTTGAAAACAGATTAATAAATATTTTAAATGTGACTCAGCTTCCATTTCTTTTCATTGTTGTTAGTCATGGTTCCTTTTATTCTCTTTTCCCTCAGCTCTATTCAGGTATAACTGATCAACATTGTATATGTTTACACTTTACAATGTAAATTAAAATTAAATTTCTAAGCCCCTCAATGAACTGAACGGATCCTCCTCTCAGCCAAGGGGACCCAAATAAACCTGAAAACTTCATTCAGGCCATGAGGGAGAAGAGGGGTCGGGCACGCCTCAGTATTCCCTCCACCCTTTGTGGTTCAGACCCAACTGAGCAGCAGTGACATGAAAATAGAGATCCTAAGACTGACGGAAGAAACGCCTTGTAGCAATAAGATACCCAACTTCAAATGCGCTCTGGTATAGCATCACCTGAAAGCAGGTCCTGAAGGAAGTCTGAGTATTTTACCCCGAGACAGATTTCTCTGACATTTTTTGGAATGGCCCAACACAGCTGTCTCTTTGTGGGAAATTTGCAATCTGTAGAGCATATGGCTCCATCACTAGGTCTTTCCAGAAAGTCTGTTACCTTTTAAGTCCAATAAGAGACGTTTACGTCTATCCTCTCTGAAGCCCTCTGCCTGGAAGTGTCATTTACGTGACAAGAACCTTGGCTCCCACAACTTCCCAAACTCCCACCCCCGACCACACCATGTTACCTAATTGAAGCTGATTTCAACTTTTAAGACAGAGTTTAACCCTTTCAACCAACTGCCAATCAAGAAACCTTTGAATCCAACTGTGACCTGGAACCCACCCCCAGCACGCCACCCGATTCCCCAGACAGAAGGCATGGAAGCCATGCATCCAGGACCCCCCAGCCCCATACGCCTTGCTCTATGCAGATCATTTCTAATCAAATTGTAAATATAGCCCTTTTCTGAATTCTCTGAGTCATTTCTAGTGAAGTTTTGAACCTGAGGAAGTCATGGTAATCCTTGAATTTATAGCCAGTTTGTCAGAAGTGCAGGTGGCTTGGGGACTCCCAAAGTTCAGCTGGTGTCTGAAGTAAGGGCAGTTTTGTGGGACTCAGCTCTGGAGTTGTGGAATCTGGTGCTAACCCTGAGTGGTGAGGGTCGGAACTGCCTTGCAGTCCACCCGGTTAGGCTCCACATATACGCTGTGGAGTAATGGGGACGGCATTCCTTGTTGAGAAAGCTTACACCTGCAACTCTGCTGTCTAGGCGGAGTATAACACCAGCGGAAACAGACGTGGGCACAGACACACGGCCGCCCCACACAAATCCCACCCCACACAGACACACCCCACCGCCCACGCGCACAAACTCATACCAGCTAAAGGAAACGCAACTGCTTGTGGAAACACGGTCACAGTGCTTTACCTGGAAAATAATGTTCCTTCATCACCACCAATCCTCATTCTAACCAGAAAGCTGGAGTCAGGGTGGCTCCCCAGACGAAAGCCAGCAAGGAAGACTCACCTTCCCTATCATCTAGATTTCTCCTTCACAAGTGGCACATGCAGAATATGCATGAATTTTCCCCTCTGAGGCCACCTACAGTGACAGAAAAGAAGGCACTACAGTACCATAGGTTCCGATGTGTTCTCTAAGCACAGGTGGGTTTTTTTTTTGTTGTTTGTTTGTTTGTTTCTTCCTGTTGACTTTATAAAACAAGAGGATAAATAGGGGTCAAGTCAAAGGAATCTATTTTTTTCTTTTTTCTTTTTTTTTTTTTTTTGAGACAGAGTCTTGCTCTGTCCCCCAGGCTGGAGTGCAGTGGCGTGATCTTGGCTCACTGCAACCTACGCCTCCCAGGTTCAAGCGAATTCTCTGCCTCAGCCTCCTGCATAGCTGGGACTACAGGCATGTGCCACCACGCCTAGCTAATTTTTTGTATTTTAGCAGAGACGGGGTTTCACCATGTTGGTCAGGATGGTCTCTATCTCCTGGCCTCATGATCTGCCCACCTTGGCCTCTCAAAGTGCTGGGATTACAGGCGTGAGCCACTGTGCCCGGCCAAGTCAAAGGAATCTAAAAGCAAGGGTAGAGAAAACCTACTCCTGTCATAGGGCAGACTTTTGCTGGAGAATGTGTCTGTCATGTCTATTGTTTTTTGTTTTTTTTGTTTGTTTGTTTGTTTTTTGAGGTGGAGTCTCCGTCAACCAGACTGGAGTGCAGTGGTGCAATCTCGGCTCACTACAACCTCCACCTCCCGGGTTCAAGAAGTTCTCTTGCCTCAGCCTCCCAAGTAGCTGGGATTACAGGCATGTGCCACGACGCCTGGCTAATTTTGGCATTTTTAGTAGAGATGGGATTTCGCCATATTGACGAGGCTGGTCATGAACTCCTGACCTCAGGTGATCCACTCGCCTAGGCCTCCCAAGTGCTGGGATTATAGGCCACCACGCCCGGCCTGTCATGTTTATTTCAATCAGCAGTTGCAAAATTATTAACCCACGGAGGAAATAATTGCTACTGAGGAAAAGGCTCTCTATGCACAGTGAAGAACCTGACACAACCCGGCTTATGTGCCCTCCTGAATCAGGCCTCGTTTGGTAAGAGACTTCTTTCCCAAGCCCTTGAGGAAACAGCCGCTAACCTCTGTAATGTATGTGGCCACGTTTCCATAACTGAACTCAATTGATAAAACAGCAAAGCACCGCTTCTACCTCAGAAAAAGAAAGACAATCTTAACCTGGCATTAGATGGGACCCCTCATCTGTCCTGCCACTAGGAAGCCACTGTAATTCATCCTCTGGAGGAGCTGGGTGGACGGGGCGGTGGTGGGACATCGGGATGCTGCCCGTGCATGGCCCCACCCCAGCTGGACATGAGAGTTGCAAAAACAAGGTGCTAGACGCAAGCTATAACCGACCATGCCGAGTTCACGTTTGTCCCGTCCCTAGGTTGTGTATGTGCCAGGATTTGAGCACTTCTAGGGCATATGCTGACAACGTTATCGAATACCACAAACCATCGCCTCAGTTCCTAGTTTTGGGTCAGATACTGAGAATCAGTCCTAGCACTGACAGAGATTGACAGTTGTCCTTGTCTCCCAACATTCAGAATCTGTGAGCTGCCCAGAGGCATCTGGACTTTCTATGTGCTTTTAATGCATCCCTCAGCATGGCCAGAATGAAGACATCAGAAAATACCAATTGTTGGAGAGGCTGGGGAGCAACCAAACTGTCTTCCTCAGCTGGCGTGATATCCGTTGCACGTTCCACCTGGGAAACTCTGTCAGTAGCTGCTGAAAGTGGACAAGCACATGTGCGATGACCGGCGACCCCTTGGGTGGAGAATATCCGGCAGAAAAGAGCGTGTGTGCTCCCCAAAGACACTCACAGGAAAGCAGCACTTTCATCACCTCCCAAAGCCATAACCACCCAAACCCTCACTGACAGTAGAACCTGTGAACAGATTCTAGGACATTTCAGCCCTGGCACGCTATGTCCCCGCGGGAAGGACAGATCCTTAAACACATGCGACAACGTGGGCCAATCTCGCAAAACAGAGTAAATGAAGCTCACACAAAAGGAGTCCTGATCTCCTTTATTTCCAAGGAGGCTGCAGTTACCCTTGATGGGGAGGCTCACCACAGGAAGCTGGCCGCAGAAGGCTTATCGGGGATGGCTTCCAGTCATGGGTTTTGTTGTGGTTTTCATTTCAATCTGGTTAATGATTAAATTTCATGAAAATTCATTGAGCTGTACATTTATGATAGGAATGACTTTTTGCTATGTATACAATATTTCAATTAAAAGTAAAAAAAAAAGAAGAAATAAACAGCATGTCTCAAACACATTATGAAAATCTCAGCCGGGCGCGGTGGCTCACACCTGTAATCCCAGTACTTTGGGAGGCCGAGGCGGGCGGATCATGAGGTGAAGAGATCGAGACCCATCCTGGCCAACGTGGTGAAACCCTGTGTCTACTAAAAATACAAAAATTAGCTAGATGTGGTGGTGGGCGCCTGTAATCCCAGCTACTCGGGAGGCTGAGGCAGGAGAATCACTTGAACCCTGGAGACAGAGGTTATAGTGAGCTGAGATCATGCTACTGCACTCCAGCCTGGCAACAGAGCGAGATTCCGTCCCAAAACAAAAACAAAAACAAAAGAAGAAAGAAAGAAAATCTCAGCAGATATGGAGTGGCAGGTAGGGTAGCTGAAGGATCTGTCATAAACCCAGAGTCACACGACTGTACCCAAGTGCAGAGATGGCATCAGGACTTTTAGAGTAACTGTCTTCACAGCACCAGAAAGCCCCAGATTGCTGCAGGACTCTCCAGCACTCACACCTATTTAACCACAGGGCAGAATACTCCCAAAACAGCACTGACAAGCGCTTATCTGGTTCAACGGAGGGTGGAAGAGGAGAGGGTTGGGATCAACAGGTACCTGACTACCTCACACATCCAGGTGCCAGCAATGGTCCCAGGAGGCTGGGACCTTCTTTCTCCTTGGTCAGATCACAATGCTCCTATAAATCTTTAACAAACCACAGTTAGCTGTTTACATACTTTCCATTAATCCCACAGTTAGTTGCAAAAACTACATGATTACCGCTTTTGCGTTTTATCTTAGCGCTCTAAAATTATGCTAGCTTATATGCAGGGATGAGAAAAAGCCCATTAAATAAAAATGGAGTCAGTTTTGTTAGCACTTTTCCTGTTTCACTGTTGCAGGATCATGGCTCCTTTCTGAGAAAAACCACAGGAAAACTTGACCATGTACACGTGGAACCTAATAAGTGCTGACTCAATGTCACCATGGCCATCATTCCCTCTACCACGCTCCCTCCTCAGTGTCACCATGGCCATCATTCCCTCTGCCACACTCCCTCCTCAATGTCAGCCATGGCCATCATTCCCTCTGCCACGCTCCCTCCTCAATATCACCATGGCCATCATTCCCTCTGCCAGCTCCCTCCTCAATGTCAGCCATGGCCATCATTCCCTCTGCCACGCTCCCTCCTCAGTGTCACCATGGCCATCATTCCCTCTGCCACGCTCCCTCCTCAGTGTCACCATGGCCATCGTTCCCTCTGCCACGCTCCCTCCTGAATGTCAGCCATGGCCATCGTTCCCTCTGCCAGCTCCCTCCTCAATGTCAGCCACGGCCATCGTTCCCTCTGCCACGCTCCCTCCTGAATGTCAGCCATGGCCATCGTTCCCTCTGCCAGCTCCCTCCTCAATGTCAGCCATGGCCATCGTTCCCTCTGCCACGCTCCCTCCTCAGTGTCAGCCACGGCCATCGTTCCCTCTGCCACGCTCCCTCCTCAGTGTCAGCCACGGCCATCGTTCCCTCTGCCACGCTCCCTCCTCAGTGTCACCACGGCCATCGTTCCCTCTGCCACGCTCCCTCCTCAGTGTCACCACGGCCATCGTTCCCTCTGCCACGCTCCCTCCTCAGTGTCACCACGGCCATCGTTCCCTCTGCCACGCTCCCTCCTCAGTGTCACCACGGCCATCGTTCCCTCTGCCACGCTCCCTCCTCAGTGTCACCACGGCCATCGTTCCCTCTGCCACGCTCCCTCCTCAGTGTCACCACGGCCATCGTTCCCTCTGCCACGCTCCCTCCTCAGTGTCACCACGGCCATCGTTCCCTCTGCCACGCTCCCTCCTCAGTGTCACCACGGCCATCGTTCCCTCTGCCACGCTCCCTCCTCAGTGTCACCACGGCCATCGTTCCCTCTGCCACGCTCCCTCCTCAGTGTCACCACGGCCATCGTTCCCTCTGCCACGCTCCCTCCTCAGTGTCACCATGGCCATCGTTCCTTCTGCCACGCTCCCTCCTCAATGTCAGCCATGGCCATCGTTCCCTCTGCCAGCTCCCTCCTCAATGTCAGCCATGGCCATCGTTCCCTCTGCCACGCTCCCTCCTCAGTGTCACCATGGCCATCGTTCCCTCTGCCACGCTCCCTCCTCAGTGTCACCATGGCCATCGTTCCCTCTGCCACGCTCCCTCCTCAGTGTCACCATGGCCATCGTTCCCTCTGCCACGCTCCCTCCTCAGTGTCACCATGGCCATCGTTCCCTCTGCCACGCTCCCTCCTCAATATCACCACGGCCATCATTCCCTCTGCCACGCTCCCTCCTCAGTTTCACCATGGCCATCATTCCCTCTGCCACGCTCCCTCTTCAGTGTCACCACGGCCATCATTCCCTCTGCCAGCTCCTTCCTCAATGTCAGCCATGGCCATCGTTCCCTCTGCCACGCTCCCTCCTCAGTGTCACCACGGCCATCATTCCCTCTGCCACGCTCCCTCCTCAGTGTCACCACGGCCATCATTCCCTCTGCCACGCTCCCTCCTCAGTGTCACCATGGCCATCATTCCACCTCCAGGTGAGTCAGCATTGGCACCATTGAGGACAGATGATAATCATTTTCCACAACAATGACAATCACAACCAATCTCACCGGCCAGTGTGTTGTGGCCACCGCCAGATCCCCAGGGAGGCCTCACAATGGGGACTCTTCCATGGGGACCGGCCATCTGCCTGCTCCACGTCTTCTCATTTGCTTTTCTTAAGCTTCTCACATCTCTCCAATAGCCAGAGAGAGTACCGCGCACCAAAGGGTTAGCTATGAGGCCTGACCCAAGACAGGAGGAAAAGTGGTTCAAAAGTTCTAGCACACTAGGGTGTTCCTCTCCATTGTGGGTGACTTCGCTTGTTCCTGACACACTTCACACCCATGGCGTCTGTGTCTGGGAGGCTGTTCAGATCCACGGCTGCTGCTGAGGGTGCTCCGCATACTTCACAGGACTTCATTTTCTTTCCCCAGAAACACTCTGAAGTCACACAGTGAGTGGCGCACCTCATCACTGACGCTAAATCCCGACTCCTCTTGCTCCTCTTGACAGTCTCGAGGTCTTGCCATTCACGGCCTCAGAAAGCCGGCACAGCCGTCTCAGGCCAGGCCTGTTTTCTCCTGCAGTACGTTCTCGTGTTTTTATTTTTCCTTTTTTTGAGACAGAGTCCTCGCTCTGTCACCCAGGCTGGAGTGCAGTGGCGTGATCTCGGCTCACTCCGAGCTCCGCCTCCCGGGTTCACGCCATTCTCCTGCCTCAGCCTCCCGAGTAGCTGGGACTACAGGCGCGCGCCACCACGCCCAGCTAGTTTTTTGTATTTTTAGTAGAGACGGGGTTTCACCGTGTTAGCCAGGATGGTCTCCATCTCCTGACCTCATGATCCGCCTGCCTCAGCCTCCCAAACTGCTGGGATTACAGGCGTGAGCCACCGCGCCCAGCCAAATAAATCTTTAAGAGATTTTGAAGAGTCTTCACAAATTTTATGTCAATGTGGATATAGCTAATGACTCACATACATTAGCATACATATTTTTGATAATTCAATAAATTTTATTCCCAAGTACGTACAGATTTTATTTCCAAGATGATGATAAGAAAATTGGAAGATGGGAAATACTTTTTAGCAACATGGTTTTTCACTTGTGTATCTGCTAAAATCCTGGGGTGTCACATAGACACGCTAAACCTCGTCTCTACTAAAAACACAAAAAATTAGCTGGGCGTGGTGGCGGGTGCCTGTAGTCCCAGCTACTCAGGAGGCTGAGGCAGGAGAATGGCGTGAACCTGGGAGGCAGAGCTTGCAGTGAGCCAAGATCACGCCACTGCACTCCAGCCTGGGCAACAGAGTGAGACTCTGTCCCAAAAAAAAAAAAAAAAGGAGGAGGGGAATGAAAGGAGATGAAAGAGGAGATAAATTACATTCAGATGGTGGCCTCTTCTGTCGGCATTAAATTGGCCAAATGACCTTCAGGGTGTCCAGAGCAGCAGCGGTGATGGGGCAGCCATGGGAAGGAAAGGGGAGAGTTAGAGTCGAGGGGCCATTTGGGCCCCGCTGTCCTGGGGCTGTGACGCCAACCCCAGAGGCTCTAGTGTGCTCATCTCTAGAGTCCTCTCCACAGCCTGGATCACTTCCTCCCTACAGCGAGGGAGGGGCCTCTGATTTCCCACATGCTTTCCCAGCCTTCAAATTCCATAACCCTCAAATTCCCCAGGGAGGGGAGGCCCGTGTCATCCCCTTTCCCCAGGAGGCGGCCACTGTCTCCATGATGCTCTGTGCCTGGCACAGACTTCCCTCTCTGCTCTAACCGTTAGGGCCTGATTTTGTTCTCCTGATTGATGCCCGTTTCCTTTCTCCATGTCAACCTCCACCAGTGCTACTGGTCTCCAATAGAACAACATTGGAAAGAAGGGCACTGCCAGTCCTTCCAGTAAATCCATGGATCCCACCCTAGGTCAGGGACATGGCCACAGGCCTGGGTTGTGTTGGGATCTGTGAGAGATGATGATGACCAAAGCCTGGGATGACCCTGGAAATGTAAACTATTCAAGCCTAACAAGAATCCCACTAGCATCTCAATGATTGGCAAGGACAGAACGGGATTCCAGGGAAAGCCCGTTTTCCCATTGCCTTAATCCGCAGGTGAAGCCGTGGTTGTTAGCATATGAACGAAGGGGCCCTGCCAGGGTTTGCCTGAGCTGTGGGAGGACTGGGCGGAAGGGCACCTGGCCGGCCTGACCCAGGGAACACGCTGGGCCTGATGGCAGCGTGGGGAACAGGACAAGGCTGCCAGGCCAGAGCAAAGGGCGTGACAAAAAATTGAGCCCTGTGCCGGCTGCCCAGTGGCCCCGTCCTGGGCGTGGTGGATTCCTGGAGCCAGGTCACGGGGAGGGTGAGAGCCAGTGCCTGCAGCAACACAGCAGCCCCTCCACGCATGTCCCCTAGGATTCCTGCCAGCCACGGAGGGCCTCGGTGACAGCTGGACACTGACTTCTCAAATGAAACCCAATTAAGGCTTCATTCCTAACCCAAGGATTTGGGATTGGGTGAGGAGTGGCCAGAAACATGCTGAAGCGTGGGCTTCCCCTCGCGACCCCACGGCGGGTGAAGCGTGGGCTTCCCCTCGTGCCTCCACAGCCGGGGCATACATATTCATCCCAGAGGAAGGATTCTCTGCATCATCCAACCCTGTGGGTGCCTTTCAACCCGGAGCCGATGGTGAGGACGGGACAGGAAGGTGCTGCTGCAGGTCCCAAGGGTGCAGAGGGAGAGGGTGGACTCCTCCCACCTCCTGGCACACACGTGGGAGACTTTGTCTCCAGGGAGACTTAGGGGCTGTGAGGGGCTGTGTCCCACATCACTCCCCGCATAGCACCAAATGCCACACCCACATACTAATCCCGTGTTCTCCATTCACAAAGGATGCCATCCCATCAAAACCCAAGGATTTAGTGCTTTCTGTGGCACAGGCAGGAAAGATCTGGTTTTCTGCAAAAGGTCATCTTTAAACACCAGAGCAAGAAATGAATATGACAAGCAGAGCACACACAACATCCATGCAAACACAACCTCTTAGGACTCTGTCTTAATTAAAATACAAAAGGAGGCCGGGCTCGGTGGCTCTTGCCTATAATCCCAGCACTTTGGGAGGCCGAGGTGAACAGATCTCGAGTCCAGGATTTCAAGACTAGCCTGGGCAACATGGCGAAACCCTGTCTCTACAAAAAGTACAAAACTTAGCCAAGCATGGTGGCATGCACCTGTATTCTCAGCTACTTTCTGGAGGCTGAGGTGGAACGATTGATTGAGCCCAGGAGACGGAGGTTGAGCCACAGTGGCACACTGACTGCACTCTAGCCTGGGTGACAGAGTAAGACCCTGTCTCCAAAAAGAAAAAGAAAAAAAAAAGGAATAAATCAGACTTCTGCACCTGGCTCCTTTTCCATTTACTGATTTTATAGCCCCAATCCTACTGCGCCCGTAAGAACCCTCTGCACAGGCCCCACCTGGAGTCCTTCTCTACCTGAAGAGGCTTCATCCTTATGGCTGCAGTCAGGCAAGCTGTCCTTGAGCCCATCTGTAGAGACACAAACATCAGCAGAAAGGTGATTCCAGAGAGTTACTCACCCAGCTCTTCTACTCTATGTGCAACCACGTGGAGGACACAAGGTCTCCTGCCTTGTCCTGTGTCCTCAGATTCTCCCTGTGCTCTGTGGACTCAGAGGCTGTCAACAAGGCACGGCTCATAGTCGAGAGCCTTCAGGTGAGAGGGAGGAGCTGACGACATTCCCTTCCAGCTGTACACTTCCACTGGACCATTACGGCTCTCACCTGCAAACCGATAACCCTGAAATTCCAGCTTTGATGCATGTGCTTTGAGTTAGATGAGTTCAGTGAACACAACTGATGCGAGGCTCACAGAAGCTGCATGAGAGAAGGTTCTGGGAGGATGGAAATGTTTTCTGCAGTATAGACATATGGCTACTGTGCACTCAAAGTATAGCTCTGGTGAGGAGGTCCTGAATTTTAAATTTTACTATTTTATTTTTGAGACAGGGTCTTGCTCTGTCACCCAGGCTGGAGTGCAGTGGTGCGATCTCAGCTCACTGCAACCTCCGCCTCCCAGGTTCAAGCGATTCTCCTGCCTCAGCCTCCCAAATAGCTGTAACTACAGTTGTGCACCAACACACCCGGCTAATTTTTGTATTTTTAGTAGAGACAGGGTTTCACCTTGTTGGCCAGGCTGGTCTTGAACTCCTGACCTCAGGTGATCTGCCCACCTCGGCCTCTCAAAGTGCTGGGATTACAGGCGTGAGCCACCGCACCTGGCCTCCTCCTGACACTTTTACAAAACATTTTGCTGACCAAGAACGATACAGAAATTTTGTCTCCAGTGTTCAAATATGCATGTCAAGGAGGAAAACAAATTCTGAAGGAACTTTTTTAAAAGGCAACTACCTGAAAAACTGTGATAAAATATGTGTAACACGAAATTTCCCATCTGCATCATTTCAAGTGTTCAGTAATGTTAAGAGCCTTCAATTGGCATGCTACCATCACCTCCATCATCTCCGGAGGTCGTTCCTCATCCTCACTGAAACTCTGCCTGTTAAACAGCCACTCCCCTTTCCCTCCTCCCTCCAGCCCCTGGCTTCCTACTAGACCTAGTATACTTCAAGCATGCCCCTGTATACTTCATAGACACATTCTACTTTGTGTCTCTATGAAATATACTAGGTACTTCATGTGAGTGGAAATACACAATATTTGTCCTTTTGTGTCTGCCTTATGTCATTCAGCATAGTCCTCAAGATTCATTTATGTTGAGGCCTAGGTCCAAATACCCTTTTTTTGTAAGGTTGAATAATATTCCATTGTATGTACATACCGCATGTTATTGATCCCTTCGTCTGTCAATGGATATGAGTTGCTCCCACCTTTTATCTATTTTGAATAACACGGCTATCAACAGGGATGGGTGTCTCTTTATTTCCTTGCTTTCAATTTTTGGGGGATATAAACCCAGAAGTGGAATTGCTGGAGCGTCCCTAGGTATAATTTCCGAGGAACTGCCTTACTGTTTACTAGAGGGGCGGCACTATTTTACATTCCCACCAGCAGCGCACAAGGGTTCCAGTCTCTCCACATCTTCACCAACATTCGTTATTTTCTGGGTTTTCTTTGATACTAGTCAATGTAGTAGGAGTGAAATGGAATCTCGTTGTCATTTCCATCTGCCTAATGATTAGTGATGCTGAGTATGGAAAAATGTCCATTCAAGTCCTTTGCTCGTTTGCTTTTTTTTTTTTAAGACAGAATCTCACTCTGTCACCCAGGCTGGAGTGCAGTGGCGTGATCTCGGCTCACTGCAACTTCCACCTCCCAAGTTTAAGCAAGTCTCCTGCCTCAGCCTCCCAAATAGCTGAGATTACGGGCACGTGCCACCACACCCGGCTAATTTTTGTAGTTTTACTAGAGACGGGTTTCACCGTGTTGGCCAGGCTGGTCTCAAACTCCTGACCTCAGGTGATCTGCCTGCCTCGGCCTCCCAAAGTGCTGGGATTACAGGCATGAGCCACCGTGCCCGGCCTTACTCATTTCTGAATTTGACTGTTAGGTTTTTGTTATTTTAATTGAAGTGTAATATTCATACAGAGAAGCCACCAGTCCCCAGAGGGCAGCTTGGTAAATTATCATAGAGTGAATACGTCTGGGACACCAGCCCTCAGATCAAGAAATAGAATAATACCAGAGCCACCCTCCCCCAGAGCACTAAGATCATCGCTATCCTGACTTCTCACCAGATGTTTCTTTGGCCTGTTTTAGGGCTTCGCAGAAACACAATCGTGCCGTACGCATTCATTTGTGTCTGGCTGCTTCTGCTCAACATTATGTTGCTGAGATTCACCAACTGTGCATGGCGGCTGTTAATCCATTTTCAGTGCTGTAAGAACTTTACTCTATAAATATATTGAGAGGTACTTATCCATTCTCCTGTTGGAAGTTGGGGCTATTGTGAAGGGTGCTGGTATAAACATTCTAGTGCACGTCGCACGTCATTTGGTGAACACGTGCACAGTGCACAGTTCTTTTGGGTCTATGCACAGGAGTGGAATGTGGGGATCACAGGTGTGGTCTCCTTTAGTAGGTATTACCCAGGGGTTTTCCAAAGTAGTTGTGCTATTTTACATTCCCAATAGTATATGAAGTTTCAGTTACTCCACATTCTTGCCCAAACTTGGTATCAACAGTGTTTTTAATTTTAGCCATTCTGGTAGGTGTAATATTGATTTCTCACTGTGGTTTAAATTTGATGGCTTATGAGGCTGAGCATGTTTTAAATGCTTTTTGGCCATTTGGATGTTCATTTGCTCTTTCCTCTCCCTCCTTCCCTCCCTCCTCCCTCCCTCCCCCCTCCTCCCTCCCTTTCTTCTTTCCCTTTTGTGTCCCTCTTCATTTCTTTCACCCATTGTCCTATTGGTCTGCCAGCTTTTTTCTTAATTTTTTAAAAAATTTATTTTACTTTAGGCCAGGCGCGGTGGCTCATGCCTGTAATCCCAGCACTTTGGGAGGCCGAGGCAGGTGGATCACGAGGTCAGGAGATCGAGACCATCCTGGCTAACACGGTGAAACCCCGTCTCTACTAAAAATACAAAAATTAGCTGGGCATGGTGGCATGTGCCTGTAGTCCCAGCTACTCGGGAGGCTGAGGCAGGAGAATGGCGTGAACCCAGGAGGCAGAGCTTCCAATGAGCTGAGATCACGCCACTGCAATCCACCTGGGCGACAGAGCGAGACTCCATCTCAAAAAAAAAAAAAAAATTTACTTTAAGTTCTGGGATACATGTACAGAACGTGCAGGTTTGTTACATAGGTAAACATGTGCCATGGTGGTTTGCTGCACTTATCAACCCATCACCTAGGTATTAAGCCCCCGCATGCATTTTTATTAACTTACAGGAATTCTCTTTATACTCTACATGTAATTTATCTTTTCACCCTCCTCCATTCCCCACCTCTTTTTTTTAAGAGACAGAGTCTCACCCTGTCACCCAGGCTGCAGTGCAGTGGCACAATCATGGCTCACTGCAGCCTCAGCCTCCCAGGCTCAAGTGTTCCTCCTGCCTCAGCCTCCCAAGTATCTGGGACCACAGGCATGCACCACCATGCCCAGCCAATTTTTCATTTTTTGTAGAGACGAGGTCTTGCTAAGCTGCTCAGGCTGTTCTCTAACTCCTGACCTCAAGTGATCCTCCCGCCTTGGCCTCCCAAAGTGCTGGGATACAGCGTGAGCCACCACACCCGGCCCCATCTTTTTACTCTTATTGATGAAAAAATTCTTAATTTTACTATCATCCAATGTATCAATCATTTTCTTTGGGGATAGTGTTTTGTCTTATTGAAGAAATTTTTACCTGCCTCCTAAGGAGCCTTAAAAATCTCCATATGCCCACAAAGCCCCACTGTTCTAACGTCTATTTTGTGCTAGAAAATAAACGAGGCACTGTCCCAGAGGCTATGCCTATCTTGTGGGAAAACTGTCTTCATCATCATTTGCTAAGATGGGAGATGATCGGGATGAGGACAATCTCCATGGCTCCCGGCATCTGATCCCTTCCTGCATTAGAGAGAGTGGGCCTGATGCCATCGTGGGCCCAGCCCCACCTGCACCCCACGGGGAAAGGGCAAGAGGAATGGAGAAGGTGTGGTGTCCTTGGGCAGAGCCAGCCCAGAGATGTGGCTCTGCAAACAGAATGAGGGTACAGATGAGTCTGCCTGCATCGCCATGGGGCTCCGGGGGCTGCAGGAGGTGGGAGAGAAGCAGGTAGAGGAGGGATCCAGCAGGAAGAAGAGCAGAGCATTCTCCCTGGAAAGGGAGAAAGAAGGACGCACCTGGCCGGGCGCGGTGGCTCAGGCCTGTAATCCCAGCACTTTGGGAGACAGAGGCAGGCGGATCACGAGGTCAGGAGATGGAGACCATCCCGGGAGGCGGAGGTCCCAGGAGTCTGGTGATACCCTGTCTCTACAACAAATACAAACATTAGCTGGGCGTGATGAGAGGCACCTGTAATCCCAGCTACTCAGGAGGCTGAGGCATGAGAATCGCTTGAACCTGGGAGGCAGAGGTTGCGGTGAGCGGAGATCGTGCCACTGTACTCCAGCCTGGGTGACAGAGCGAGACGCTGTCTCAAAAAAAAAAAAAAAAAAAAAGGACGCACCTTTCATTTAACAGCTCAGTGTTCCAGTGACCGGAGGTGAGGTCGCAGCTGCTGGTCCCACAGAGCCTGTCTCTGGCGTTAGTTGTTTAGATGTCAGAATTGGTGAAAAGTTTGAGATTGTACCAGCTGGTCCGGGAAAGGTGATGGGGGAGCTATAAAGCTTGCAGCAGGGCAGTCAGGGATGTCCGGTGCACAGGGGCTCCAGGGCACGTGAGCCACACGGTGCTTAGGGCCAGGCCTCCCAGGAGTGACCCAGACCAGCCTTTTCTTTCTCATTCTCTCACTCTCTGAATTCAAAAGCTTGAACATGCCACAAAATGTCCACCCAATAAAAAGAAAGTATTTGCCTACTGGGCTCAGACATGGTATTAAGGAAATTGCAAATCTACTGACTGTGACAGAAAGCAAATCAGTGGCTGCTTGGGATGGGGGGGGGTGGGAGGGGCTGTAGGGAGGGATTCCAAAGAATCACGAGGAAGCTTTGGGAGTCGTGATGCTCCTGGTCATGGTTTTGCGGGTGCGTATGTGTGTCAACATCGATCAAAAAAAAATTTTTTTTTTTTGAGATGGAGTTTCACTCTTGTTGCCCAGGCTGGAGTGCAGTGGCGTGATCTCGGCTCACTGCAATCTCCGCCTCCCGGGTTCAAGTGATTCTCCTGCTTCAGCCTCCAGAGTAGCTGGGATTACAGGCATGCACCACCACACCTGGCTAATTTTTTATATTTTTAGTAGAGACAGGGTTTCACCATGTTGGTCAGGCTGGTCTCGATCTCCTAACCTCACGTGATCCACCCACCTCAGCCTCCCAAAGTGCTGGGATTACAGGCGTGAGCCACCACGCCTGGCCTTGTTCTCTTGTATGTGAGTTACCCCTCCGTGAGGCTGCTAAACATCCCCCCAGCACACACACGCACAGACACACACCTGCACGCCCTCACGTAGTTTGCGAGGCAGTGGTTCAAGTTACACGTTAATCCCTCAAGCGTGCTCATCTCACTCTCCAAACCTGCCCTCTTGCAGGGTCCATGCTTCTTCTAAGTGTCCTGGTCACAAGGCAGCTGGATCGACACTCAGAGGTACAGAGCAGAGCAGAGTGTGGTCCCTGAATCTGTCTCACCCCCACGATCTTTACACACAGAGACCTTCCCAGGAGCTGTGACTTGAACTTCACAATCTGCAGGGTCCACCCAGGAGCCGTGTCCTCCTCACAGGCAATTGGATCCCCTCCTCTCTCAACCTGTGTGGGAAGACTGGAAACAAAAAATAGAGAAAGTTGGAGGTAAAACACTAAGGGGATGGGCATCCCCAGGACAGAGGAAAACACTGAGGGGATGGATGGGCCACACCTGAGCATCCTCAGGACCGAGGGAAACACTGAGGGGATGGATGGGCCACATCTGAGCATCCCCAGGACCGAGGAAAACACTGAGGGGAGGGATGGGCCACACCTGAGCATCCTCAGGACCGAGGGAAACACTGAGGGGCTGGATGGACCACACCTGAGCATCCCCAGGACCGAGGAAAACACTGAGGGGCTGGATGGGCCACACCTGAGCATCCTCAGGACCGAGGGAAACACTGAGGGGATGGATGGACCACACCTGAGCATCCCCAGGACCGAGGAAAACACTGAGGGGCTGGATAGGCCACACCTGAGCATCCTCAGGACTGAGGGAAACACTGAGGGGGTGGATGGACCACACTTGAGTGACCCCAGGACAGAGGGAAACACTGACGGGATGGATGGGCCACATCTGAGAGTTCCCAGGGCCGACATAAAAAACCTATTGGGATAGACCAAACCTGTGAGTCCCCAGGGTGCAGTAAACACTAAATTAATAGACCACACCTGAGGGTCTCGAGGACCGAGGTAAAACACTCAGGGGATGGATGGGCCATATCTGAGGGCCCCCAGGACAAAGGTAAACAATAAGGGGATGGGCCACACCTCAGGGTCCCCAGGACAGAGGTAAACACTAAGCGGATGGATGAACCACAACTGAGATTCCCCAGAATAGAGATAAAACACTTTGGGGATCGACCACATCTGAGGGGCCCAAGGCAGAGGTAAACACTAAAGAAATGGATGGACCACACCTAAGGGTTCCCAGGATAGATGTAAACACTAATGGGACGGATAGACCACACCTGAGAGTCTCGAGGACAATGGAAAAACACTAATGGGATGGATTGACCACAACTGAGGGTCCCCAGGACAGAGGTAAACACTAATGGGATGGATAGACCACACCTCAGGGTCTCCAGGACAGAGGTAAAAACCAATTGGATGGATGGATGGAACCTGAGGGTCTCCAGGAACGAGGTAAAACACTGAGAAGATGGATAGATCACACCTGAGCATCCCCAGTACAAAGGAAAACACTAATAGGATTGACCATACCTGAGGATCTCCAAAACAGAGGGAAACACTAAGGGGCTGGATCGCCCACACCTGAGAGTCCTTAGGACAGAGGTAAACACTGAGGGGCTGGATGGGCCACACCTGAGGGTCCTCAGGACAGAGCAGTGAAGGACGGCTGTTGCTGGGATAATTCCATATCTTTGGAGAACAAGAATTCCAGGTAGTTTTCTTCGCTCCAAACAGCGTGGTTATGAACTAGCTTTCACTCCAGGAGGCTTTAAAGCTTCAGATAATATCTGTAGTAATAAAGAAAAACAGGCCAGGTGCCACGGCTCACACCTGTAGTCCCAGCACTTTGGGAGGCCAAGGTGGGAGGACCACTGAGGCCAGGAGTCTGAGACCAGCCTGGACAACGTAGCGAGAGCCCATCTCTGTAAATAATTTCAAAAATGTAAAAAAAAAAAAAAAAAAAGAAAGAAAGAAAAACAAATAGTGGTAACTGACAACTAACATATTGTTACTAACAAAAATTTACACCAAGGTGAAAAAAATCAACTTTTTTTTTTTTTTAATCAAAACGATGCCTCAGTCTAGGAAGAGGTGCTTCCTCTCTGGAAGCAGCTGAACACCTGAGCTGCTGTCCACAGGCGGACGGACTCTCCAGGAGCCCCCAGTGGGCCTCGGCTCCTCCACGTCAGCTCCTCTCTTGTCCCTCTGCTGGTCCACGGGGGCCGCTGCAGCTGGCCAGGTCTCCTGGGAGTCGGAGGGGGCCATGGGTTCCACCCCAGGGCCCACCTCATCAGCACAGTGCTCTCACCATCTGAGCACCAGCCCAGAGGAAAAGGAGAAAGAATGGGTGATGCTGATCCCCCAAGCAAAATGGAAACCCCTCCACCTCCCACCCTCAAAAGCACCCAACAACGGGCCCTGGGCACTGAGGGCCTCACGGGGAGCTGTTTGCATCACAGTGAAATCTACAAAGTTCCCATGGCACGTGAGTGGACGCTTCCTCCACACGGGAATGTCCGGCTGCCCCAAGGAAGGCTGCAATAATGTTGAGATCTTTGAATAGGAGCAAGGGATCAAGGCCGATGGCCTCTCTGAGGGCCTCAGTTTCCATCCATGTGGGCAAGCTCCCCTTTGGGAATCTGGGTTATGGTTCCCGAGATGGGGACAAGAGGCATCCGCTGACGGCTATATTTACAAAAATCCATCAAGTCGACACGCTTGTGAGAGTCAAAGCAGTACAGTAACTCACTGGAGAAGTGAAAATTTCTCATCTTCACACACACAGAGATAACGGGGGCGGCGTGGGGGCAAGCCGAACGCATGCGTGTGCTCTGTGCACTCACCGCCGCCCTCTCCGCGGCTGTCTGGCTCCTGATTTGCATAGTGAGAGGCAGACACCAGGCTTGAATCAGGAGGGGCAGCGCCTTGTCCCAGTGAGTTTGGGTCTTGAGACAGTGAGTAGCAAGGGTGTAGAAAGGAAGGGATTTATCGACAAAGTTATCTGACTTTGATTCTTGAGCTCAATAGGGAGAGTTTGAATAAAAAGGAACACCGATACTAACACACGTTAAATAGACGAACTGCTTCTAATATTTGATAGGCAATAAATGTCGCATTTGTTTATACTTCCTAAGCAAAGTCAAGTCTCGTTCTCAGTTGCTCATTTTCAGAAAGTGAGAAAGTCCAAGATCTCATGGGCCCCTCCCCTTCCTCGGGTTATGGACACCAGGGCCCTGGGGACTGCAAGCTGGGGAGGTCTCCCGGGAGTCAGAGGGGGACATGGAGGAGAGCGGAGGAGAGAGTGCTGTTCTAGGGTGTCATTAGGTGGCTGTCAGATCCCTGCTCCTACATTCAGTAGGGAGTGACCTTCGGAAAATTATGTAGCCTCCCTAAGTCTCAGTTTTCTCACCTGAAAAATGGAGCTGATGGTAATACTCCTCATCCAGTAGAACAGTATGTGTTGACCATGCTTGTGGCATTCTTTTTAAGAGCTGCACAGCACTCCATTGTATGGGCATTAAATCATTTATTTATTGTGTGCAATCTCGGCTCACTGCAACCTCTGCCTCCCAGGTTCAAGCGATTCTCCAGCCTCAGCCCACTGAGTAGCTGGGATTACAGGTGACCACCACCATGCCTGGCTAAATTTTGTATTTTTAGTAGAGACGGGGTTTCACCATGTTGGCCAGGCTGGTCTTGAACTCCTGACTTCTGGTGATCTGCCCACCTCAGTCTCCCAAAGTGCTTGGATTACAGGCCTGAGCCACCACTCCCGGCCCATAGACCTAAATATAAAACACATTTGTTGAACACCATGAAACCAGCAGCTTTGCTGTCACCACCAGAGGGACTCACATGATTTGGAGAATTTTCAAATAGGGATATCGATGCAAACACACAGGAAGGACCAGTAGCTCTGCTCGTCTCCTCAGAGACCAGAACCTGCCCAAACCACCCAGCATCACTGACTGATGACGGTGCCTGAGCTCATGCGAAGAGAAGACACAGCGAGGGGAGGTGCCTGTGGAAAGCAGATGGCCTGAGCTGTGTGTGCACGCCCTAGTCCACGGGTAGATCCATCAGCCACAGTGGAAGCCTCACCGACTCAAGGTGTTAGTGTACAAATTCAGACAACTGTTGGCAGAATACCAAGCACGCAGATAAAGGAGCGGTTCCTGGGAAGCCATGCATAAGAAACAAAAAATGAGCAGAGACGGCTCCGGCTACACGCTGCTTACAGAATTTACAAATTTAGTGCAGGCTGGTTACAAACAAACGAACAAACAGTAACAACTCTCAGCAGAAAAGAATCAGAATCCAGAGTTGAAGAGTCTATAACCTAAAGTATCCAGTGTTCAATGATAAGTTACAAGACAAAAAGAAACAGGCAAGTGTGGGGGGAAACTGTCTTTGTGTCCCCAGATGTCACACTTAGCAAACAAAGACTTCAAAGCAGTTACTTATGTTAAAAGAACTTAAAAAGGGCCAGGCACGGTGGCTCACTCCTGTAATCCCAGCACTTCGGGCCACCGAGGCAGGCGGATCACCTGAGGTCGGGAATTCGAGACCAGCCTGATCAACATGGAGAAACCCCATCTCTACTAAAAATACAAAATTAGCTGGTGTGGTGGTGCATCCCACTATCCGGGAGGCTGAGGCAAGAGAATCGCTTAAACCTGGGAGGCAGAGGTTGCAGTGAGCCAAGATCGTGCCATTGCACTCCAGCCTGGGCAACAAGAGCGAAACTCTGTCTCAAAAAAAGAAAAAGAAAAAGAAAAATGACTTATGAAACATCAAGCACAATATATGTAGAAAGAGAGTCTCAGAAAGAAAGAAGAGGGGAAACAAAGAACTATTTACAGAAATAATGGCTGAAAACTTACCAAATTTGATATAAAACATTAATCTATAGAATCAATGTTTACTTTTAGTAAAATAAAAATCAAGATATCCACTCCTACACACCTGTGTCAAGCTATGAAAAGACAAAGAGTAAATATTGAAAACAGTAAGACAAAAACTTCTCTTCATGTACAAGAGCACCACGATAAAATTAGCCACTGATTTCTGATCAGAAACAATGGTGAAGCCAGGCACGGTGGCTCACGCTTGTAATCCCAGCACTTTGTGAGGCCAAGGCAGGTGGATTACCTGAGGTCAGGAGTTCGAGACTAGCCTGGCCAACATGATGAAACCCTGTCTCTACTAAAAATACAAAAATTAGCTGGGCATGTTTGTGCGTGCCTGTAATATCAGCTCCTCGGAGGCTAAGGCTGGAGAATCGCTTGAACCTGGGAGGCAGAGGTTGCAGTGGGCTGAGATCACACCACTGCACTCCAGCCTGGGCAACAAACAGAGGGAGACTCCGTCTCAAAAAAAAAAAAGAAGAAGAAGAAGAAAGAAACAATGGTGGGAAGGCAATGGGATGGCATAGTCAAAGAATGAAAGAAAAAAAATTGTCAACTAAAAATGCCGTGTCCGGCAAATCTATCCTTTAAAAATAAAGATATTCCCCAATAAACAAAGACAGAAAATTTGCTGCCAGCACTCCTACCTTATAAGAAATACTAAAATAAAGCTTCTGAACTAAAAGAAAGGCTTGTTTCTTCTATTTGAAAATACTGAATTGATTTGTCACAGATATGTGTGTATATGTGTGTGTGTGTGTATGCTGAATATTCCAAAATTTCTCATGCACTTTAATTGATTTTAGAAGCAAAAATATTGCAAATATATAAAAATATTCTTTGAAGGTTTAATTAGTTCAATTTTTATACTTTTTTAGTCCTATGAATTTTAATAATAAAGAATTGATTTAATTTTTGATTAAGTCTAGCTGAAGATAGTAAAGATTAATTGAAACAAAGTTATAAAAATTTATTCAAAACTCACAATGATAAACAAGTATAAAAATGTAAGCTCTCTGTCTGAGTGGATGCAAGGCAAGAACATACTGTGTGGGGAAGTCCCCACAACCACACAGCCGTGACGCCAGAGCTCCACGGAGGCCCAGGGATGATCTCAGAGCCATTCCCAGGCCTGGGCCTCACCCTAGAGCCAAGGTCCCCTGGGGAAAGTGGAGCCTGCCTCAGGGGGCACAGCATCACCTCCTCAACCCCAAGCCTGGCTGCCTTTCTGATGGAGGAGCCAGGTGGGCTCTGGGAGGCCTAGAACCTTCTCACCCCTCCCAGCCCCAAAGGGTGCAGTTAGTTACTGCATCACAGCCCCCAGGGGACCCCTGACCACAACCTCTCCAAGTCACACCGACCGGCAGCCTCCCAGGGGCCGAAGACCCCCACCCCATGGAGCATGGCAGACAGCCCTGGCAGGCCCAGGTGCAGACACGCAGGGAGAGGTGGCCCCACTGTCGTGGTCCCCTACAGCCACCGCCGGGGTGCACTCCCTGTTTGGCAGCCACTGTCTAGTCCCCTGCGCCTGGCCACACACAGGTGGGGAAGAAATCATGACACAGGGTGTTGACTGCGGCCTCTCCCTGCCATGTGACAGCTCCCGAGGTCCCTGCGGCACTCTCCCCAATGCATCCTGACCTCACTATATTTGCACCCCAAACCCTGGCACCCAGGCCCCACGCGGCACTCCCTGTCCTCAGCGCAGTGGTACCCCTGTACCTGGACCTTCAGCCCGTCAACATTCACCCCGTCCTCAGCACAACAGCACCCCTGTATCATGAAACCAAGCCCCCCACCCTGCACCCTGTCCTCAGCAAAGCAGCACCCCTGCCCCGACACCCATTCCCCCACCCTGACCCCTGAAAACGAGCCCCCGGCCCTGCACCCGCTGTCCTCAGCACAGCAGCACCCCTGCCCTGAATCCCAGCCCCGCCACCCTGAACCCCGCCCTCAGCACAGCACCATCCATGCCTTTTGATGCCCGGGCCACCCGCCCTGCCCCACCTGTCCTCAGCACAGCAGCACCCCTGTCCTCTGACACCCAGTCCCAAAACCCGCACCGGTAAGTGTTGGCCCTGAGCCTCCCATGGCCCTGAAGGCCGTATCTTCAGGTGCTCTGTCCGCAGCAGCACGTAACTCCCAGGCTGCCCGGTGGGTTGAGGCCCACGGCAGCCTCACCAAGGGTTCCACCCCAGAAACGACAGGCTTTTAGATGTTTAAAGACCAGAGTGGCAAAAATGCAGGAGAGCAAAGTAGCCTTGCCTAAGAGACCGCTCCACTCCAGCAGCAGAGCTGGAGGAGGAATGAGGGAGGTAGAGCGCAGAAGGGAACTCAGGACTGGGCCATCTGCTGCAGAAACAGCAGGCCCAGGACAGTGGCGACTTCTGGGCTCCCCGGCCCTCTGCTCATGCTTGCTCAGAAAGGGCTGTCCTGTTTACTTCGGGAGGCGGCTTTGGCGGGAGGGGCAGCCACATTGGGACCTCCGGCTGTGGCTGGGTTCTGGGCACCAAGCCCGCTGCCAGGCCGGCGCCTGCTCCTGCAGACCTGCCATGCCAATGCTCTCCAAGCTGAGGCCGGGTGGCCTGCGACGCTCAGCCCGATGCCCATCACAAGAAAAAAAGCAATTATCAGGGCGCTGTGCGCACGGGGCCACCTTCGCGCTGGCCCGTGAGGGCACCCTCAGCCGGCGGGACTTTCACTTTTGCCGAGCAGCGGCAGCAGCACCGGATGTCTCCTTCGCCCCTGCGCACCGGGGTCGCGCAGAAAGGACGGTGGTTCTGACCGGCGGCTCTGCGGGGCGGGGTGCGGCGCTCAGCCCGGTCGCCCCATGCCTGCCCAGGGCTTGGTGGACCCGAGGGACACTGTGGGCATGGCACCTCTGGGCAGGGACTCCTGGGCAATCTGAGCTGCTGTACGCCCTGCTCTGGTCTCTGCCCGCCAGGCGAGCGCCGTGCGCGAGAGGAGCAGGCAGGGGAAGCACGCAGGCGGCATGTAGGAGAGGAGCGCGGACTGTGCAAGGGCAGGAGCGGGGCGGGGGCCAGGCAGGGGCAGGGGCAGGGGCAGGAGCGGGGAGCGGGCCAGGCAGGGATAGGAGCGGGTCGCCACAGGAGCGGGGCGCGGGTAAGAGCAAAGCCGGCCGGCAGAGGTAGGAGCAGGGCGCAGGCGGGAGCAGGGCGTGGTGCTGGGAAGGCCACCACTAACCTGGGTCCGCTCGCCTTTGCACGCACAGCCCCTCCTTTCACCAGGTGCACCTGCCTGCAGTCCCTGTGCTTTGCCCTTTTTGCTGCACAAAGACAGCAGGGAAGCCGTGCAGGATGCAAGATCTGAGACTGCTGGGGTTGTGACCCGAGGACTCTGAGAACACCACCCTCCCCGCCAACCGCCCATCCCTACCCCAGCTCCAGGCTCCCCCCACCAGAGCGCATCCCCAGCCATTTCTCCTGAGGCAGAGGCTCGGTGGAGCTCAGCCTCTGTGGGGCTAGAGGCCAGAGGAAGGGAAGATATGGGCAGGGAAGGGGGCAGGAGAGCGTTTGTCAGCATCCAGGGCAGTGCAGAGGGTGGGGGTCCTGGAGGCCAGGCCTGGGAAAAATGTAACCAGGTTTGGAAAAACAAGAATTAGGGAGGCGGGAGGCAGAGGCGTTGGTCAACAGGCACCAGGTGGCTGAGGCAGTCCAGAGGGGTGAGGGGCAGGCCTGTCAATGTCAGGCCCCGAGCTGGTAAGTTTCAACTCCCTACTGTTCTCTGGGAGGTTTCCGGAGAAACCAACTCCAGTGAGACAAATGTAACTTTCTTTAAGACTGGGAGGATCAATTTCTACATTTATTCAAAGAAGCAGTAAACATCTACAGGAGAATTTGGCTACTTTCCACCTCATTGGGGGAGTGGGGGGGGCCCTTCCCTCCTCTACACAGGAAAGCACGGGGTGTGGGACTAGGAGAGCCAGCATGGAGCCCCAGAGAATCCAGTTTTCCCCCGAAGAAATGATGCCCAGCATCACATTCACCTCTAAAAAGGGGAAGCCATGGACCTGTCAGGGGGGTCCTGGGGTGAGGTAGGAGGTGGGTTCTGGGCTTCTGTGGGGAAAGTCCCTGTTCTTTCCATATCCCCCAGCTGCCTCTTGAGGTCTGGCCTGCACCCAGCCACAGACAGATGGAGGAAGGGAAGCCCATGGGGCCATGGGGTGGGAGGGCCCAGGAAGCTGGGCCTGGGGTGCCCCGGGGCCAGCCCCTCCTCTTTCTCCTGCATCCTGGCTGAGCTCAGGGCTGAATCAGTGATCTGCACATCACTGCAGATCTGAAAAAGTGAAGTCACCCTGGCAGGCAGGAGGAGGAGTTGCAAAGACGGGCTGGCTCGGACTTGGCCAACCGCTATGTCCAGAGCCGGCCTGCTGAGGGGTAGGTGGTGTGGGCAGCCAGCCCACGAGAGGTACCCTAAACCACTGGACCCTCTGCTGCCTGCCACCCACCCCCGCCAGGCTTTACAGAGCTGGAGTTGTCTCCCTTGGGTGCATACAAGCCCCGTTTCTGTTGCTAGCAGCTACACAGTCTTCACACTCAGGCCTATGCCCAGGGAAGGGACATTGTAGGTAGGGAGGGGCTGAGGGGGACTTTTGGCAACAGACAAGCTCCTGTGACTGTCCCCTAGGAGAATGAAGAGAGAAGGGGGTGGGCCTGAATAGCACCCCCCCGCCCCCACCTCCCAGGAACCTCTCTGGCCACATCTTGGCTGCTGCACAGACTGGATGCCTGGCTCAGCTCTGTGACCACCTCAGGGCCCATCTGAGCCTGCACTCCTGCCTGGCATCCCAGGCACTTTTCCCTTCTCCCCATCCCCACCCTTGGAGGGCTTGAGTGGACACCTGACACCAGGGGGAGATATGGTCTTCTCCTGGGGAAAAGGTCTGGGGAGCCTCATGTGGGTGCACCCCTGTACACTTGCATACGTGCACACATGCATACACCTGTGTTCACATGTGTGGACACACATGCACACGGATGCACACCTTCCTCCACATGCACACCCAGGGACCTGACCAGAGGATCACCCAGTAGAGAACAGAGGTGAAGCCTGCGGCCTGATGGCCTCAGCAACTATAGGGAGAGGAGACAGCCCTGCCTGGGTGTGGGCTCAGGATCCAAAACATCAGGCAGCAAAAAGGAGCTCCTCGCCCGCACAAGGGAAATGGGGCCACCCCGAGGTCCCACAAGGAGAGGTGGAGGCAGAGTGGGTTGCAAGGCAGGCCAGGCCCTGGCCCTGGCTTCTCTCAGTTCCTCGGGTGAGGAGGGCCTGCAGGGGGCTCTGCCTCCCTTTCTTGCCTTCCCTTAGTCGACTCTCTCTGAGCCTCAGTTTCCCCAGCTGGAAACATCTCCATCTCAGAAGGAGGGGTTGTAAGAATTAAAGAGGAGAGAAACACGAAGGGTGGCTCAACAGTCAGCAGGTTTATTTCAAACCTGGGAGGGACTTCTGTCCAAGTCAAGTCAGAAGCCGCACTCCCCTACATGCTAAAAGTTTTTAAGGATTCAGGGTGGGAGAGTTTATCAGAGGCTTGCACTGCTCCTATGTCTCTTTGTTGTGCTTATCTGGGAGGGAGAATTGTGTGTCTGTTCCCATACATCTTGCTTCAGCCGCAGGCATACCTCCCCTCCCCCGAGTCTGCTTTAGCTTCCCTATCTTAGCGCATCTGAAGGGAAAGGACTGTGATTATTAAGGCCCACTGGTTTACTGGGGCCCATTGTATGAGGGTGAAGTTTGGTAGTTACTTGAGAGACTTTCCCCCCTCCCCCCACCTCCCTCTGTGCCCAAGCTGTCTTATCTTTTACTGCCTGCTCTTTCTGGCTGCTGCTTGTAGTTAGAAGTTAAGTGATATCCTTGAAATGCATGGGGCTAGAAAGGGAGCTGGAACTTAAAGTGGCGGTGTTTGTCTGAGATGACGGTGCTCCTGCTCTGTCACCCCTGCCTTTTCATGCCCAGGAACCCTGCCCTGCACCACCTCTGTCCTCTGCACTGCAGCAACTCTGCCCCTGACACTCAACACCACACCCTGCACCTCATCCTCAGTGCAGCAGCACCCCTGGCCCCGACACCCAGACCCAAAACTTGCACCCATAAGTGTTGTCCCTGACCTCCCATGGCCCCAAAGCCACATCTTCAGGTGCCCTCCCAGACAGTGGCACAGAACTCCCAGGCTGCAGGCTGGGTCTCAGCCCACTGCAGCCCCTCCAAGGGAGCCACCCCAGAAACCACAGGCTTTTAGGTTTTTAAAGACCAGGTGGCAAAAACGCAGGAGAGCAAAGCAACCTTGCCAAAGAGAGCCTCTGCACTCCTCTGCCAGCCAAAGCGGCAGAGCTGGAGGAGGAATGAGGAAGGTAGAGCTCAAAAAGGAAACCAGGAATCGCCACACTGTCTTCCACAATGGTTGAACTAATTTACACTCCTACCAACAGTGTAAAAGCGTTCCTATTTCTCCACATCCTCAAGGATCTAGAAATAGAAATACAATTTGACCCAGCAATCCCATTACTGGGTATATACCCAAAGGATTATCAATCATTCTACTATAAAGACACAAGCACACATATGTTTATTGCGGCACTGTTCCACAATAGCAAAGACTTGGAACCAACCCAAATGTCCATCAATGATAGACTGGATAAAGAAAACGTGGCACATATACACTATGCAGCCATAAAAAAGGATGAGTTCCTGTCCTTTGCAGGGACATGGATGAAGCTGGGAAACATCATTCTCAGCAAACTAACACAGGAACAGAAAACCAAACACCACATGTTCTCACTCATAAGTGGGAGTTGAACAATGAGAATACATGGACACAGGGAGGGGAACATCACACACTGGGGCCTGTCGGGGGCTGGGGGGAGGGATAGCATTAGGAGAAATACCTAATGTTGATGACGGGTTGATGGGTGCAACAAACCACCGTGGCCCATGTATACCTGTTAACCAACCTGCACTTTCTGCACATGTACCCCAGAACTTAAAGCATAATAAAATAAAATTTTAAAAAAGGAAACCAGGACTGCACCGTCTCCTTCAAAAACAGCAGACCCGTGCCACTCGTGGCTTCCTGGGCTCCCCGCCCCTTCGCCCACACCTGCCCCGAAAGAGCTGCCCTGTTTGCTTCAGGACACCGGCTTTGGTGCTTGGGACAACCACGCTGGGAACTCCCACTGCGCTAGGTTCTGGGCACCAGCCCCGCTGCTCGCGGGCGCCTGCTCCTGTCAGAGACCTGCCCGCCGCCCGCCACCAGTGCGCTCCCAGCCGAGGCCAGGTGGCCAGTCACACGCAGCCCGCTGCCCAGCGCAAGCAGAAAGGTGCTTCTCAAAGCTCGGCTCCGCCGCTTGGCACTCTGGGCCACCTTTGCACTGGCCGATGCGGGCGCCTGCAGCCAGCAAGACTTACTTTTGTGAGCAGCCTCGGCGCACCGGATGTCGTCTTTGCCATCCCCAGTGGGCGCTGGGGCCGCGTCTGGAGAGACGGTGGCTCTGGCCGGCGGGGTGCGGCGCTAAGCCCGACCGCCCCATGCCTGCCCGGGTGAGGCCGACGTGGGCGTGGCACCTCGGGGCAGGGACTCCAGAGCACTCAGCGGCTGCGCGCCCTGCTCTGTCACTGTTGGGCCAGGCGGGTGCCGGCTGCTGGGGAGGAGCCGGAAGGGGCAGCGCAAGGCGGCGGGTGGGAGTGGGCACGGGCCGGGCTTAGCTAGGAGCGGGGCACGGATAGGAGTGGCGCACGCGTAGGAGCGGGGCGCGGGCAGGTACAGAACGCGGGCAGCAGGACGCGGAGGGGAGCGGGGCGCGGGCTGGCAGAGGTCAGAACAGGACGCGGTAGCAGCGGGGCTCCACTAAGCAGGGATAGGAGCGTGGGGCGGTAGCTGCCAGACAGGCGGGTGCTGGAAAGGCCACCAGTATCCTGGGTCAGCGCACCTCTGCAAGCACAGCCGCTCCTTTCAAACAGGTGCGCCCTTTCCACTGCACAGCGGGCAAGGAAACCAGGTGGGGATGCAAGATCTGGTACTGCTGGGGTTGCTGGGGTTGCGACCCAGAGGACTCTGAGAACAACACCCTCTCCCCAACCCCCCATCCCTACCCCAGCTCCAGGCTCCCCAGCAGCGCACCCCCGCAGCGCACCCCCAGCCATTTCTCAGAGGCAGAGGCACAGTGTAGCTGGGCCTCTGCATGGCCAAAGGTGGGAGGAGGGGAGGAGCTGGTTAGGGAGAGGGAAGGAGAGCCTTCGTCAGCATCCAGGGCAGTGCAGAGGGTGGGGGTCCTGGAGGCCTGGCCAAGAAGAAATGTAACCAGTTGTGGAAAAACAGGAGTTAGAGAGCAGGGAGGCAAAGGCGTTGGTCAACAGACACCAGGTGGCTGAGGCACTCCGGAGGGCTGAGGGGCAGGCCTCTCACTATCAGGCCCAGAGCTCTAGCTCGTAAGTTTCAGCTCCCTACTGTTCTCTGGGAGGTTTCCCAAGAAAACTCCACTGAGACAAATGTAACTTTCTTTAAGGCTGGGATGATCAATTTCTATGTTTATTCAAAGCCGCAGCAAACTTTTTCTATGGGAGAATTTGGCCACTTTCAGCCTCATGGGGGGGAGTGTGGAGGGGGTGGCCTTCCCCCTTCTACACAGGGGAAGTGGGATGTGGGACTGGCAGCCTAGGAGAGCCAGCAGCAGAGAGGAACTGGAGCCCCAAAGAATCCAATTTTCCCCCAAATAAATGATGCCCAGGATCACATTCACCTCTAATAACGGGAAGCCACTGGACCTGTGCTGGGGGGTCCTGGGGTGAGCCTACGACCCGGGGCTTATACCCAGCGCCTAGGACCCGGGGCTTACACCCAGAGCCTAGGACCCGGGGCTTACACCCACAGCCTAGGACCCGGGGCTTACACCCAGAGCCTAGGACCCGGGGCTTACACCCAGAGCCTAGGACCCGGGGCTTACACCCAGAGCCTAGGACCCGGGGCTTACACCCAGAGCCTAGGACCCGGGGCTTACACCCAGAGCCTAGGACTTGGGGCTTATACCCAGAGCCTAGGACCCGGGGCTTATACCCAGAGCCTAGGACCCGGGGCTTATACCCAGAGCCTAGGATTTGGGGCTTATACCCAGAGCCTAGGACTTGGGGCTTATACACAGAGCCAA
Source organism: Homo sapiens (assembly GCF_000001405.40). Classification (NCBI taxonomy): domain Eukaryota; kingdom Metazoa; phylum Chordata; class Mammalia; order Primates; family Hominidae; genus Homo; species Homo sapiens. Next base: position 72,566 of record NT_187652.1, on the reverse strand, counting down.
GGACGTGGGGCTTATACCCAGAGCCTAGGAAACAAAGCTTATACCCAGAGCCTAGGATATGGAGCTTATACCCAAAGACTAAAACACAAGGCTTATACCCAGAGCCGAGGACACAAGGCTTATATCCAGAGTTTAGGACCCGGGTCTTATACACGGAGCCTAGGACATTGGGCTTGTACTCAGAGCCTAGGACATGTAGCTTATATCCAGAGCCTAGGAAACACAAGTCTTATACCCAGAAAAAACGTGAGGCTTATACCCAGAGCCTAGGACCCAGGGCTTATACACTACTTATATTCTACTTTTAGTAGAGACGGAGTTTCACCATGTTGGCCAGGCTGGTCTTGAACTCCTGACCTCACATGATCCACCCGCCTCGGCCTCCCAAATGCTGGGATTACAGGCATGAGCCACTGTGCCTGGCCTAGAACTGCAAAATTTAATTCAAGAAAATATAGGTCCTATGAAAGATTTAAGTTTTATAAAGCTAAAATCTAGTGTTTTCTGGTAAATTGCACTTTAGCCAAAACTCTCCCAATGCTTCTAAAATAATACTAAAAGGGGCATCTGGTAATACAGGAGCAATTTTTTTTTTTTTTTTTTTTTTTGAGATGGAGTCTCACTCTGTCGCCCAGGCTGGAGTGCAGTGGCATGATCTCAGCTCACTGCAACCTCTGCCACCCGGGTTTAAGTGATTCTTCTGCCTCAGCCTCCTGAGTAGCTGGGATTACAGGTGCCCACCACCATGGCCAACTAATCTTTGTATTTTTAGTAGAGACGAGGTTTCACCATGCTGGCCAGGCTGGTCTCAAACTCCTGACCTCAGGTGATCCACCAGCCTCAGCCTCCCAAAATGCTGGGATTACAGGCATGAGCCACTGTACCCAGCCATACAGTACAGAAGCAAGTTTAAAAATTAAATATTTATTTGAATAACAAGCTTACATTGGAGCTGCAATGTTGGCAATGCAGATTTTGAACACGGATCACAAAAAGCATGCATAAAATCCTACTGGCCCAGAGAACAAACCACTGCTCAGAATTAGGCTAAATAGCTGCTGCTTTTAAGAAAATAAAAGGCCTGAAATCAATATACAACATTTTTTAAAATGTATTGGCTGGGCGGGTGCCTGTAATTCCAGCACTTTGGGAGGCCAAGATAGGAGGATCACCTGAGGTCAGGAGTTCAAGACCAGCCTGGCCAACATGGTGAAACTCCGTCTCTACTAAAAATAAAAAATTAGCTGGGTGTGGTGACACATGCCTGTAGTCCCAGCTCAGCAATTAAAGGCTAACGTGAAAGCCAGAGGCCCTTCTGTTGGCGTTTAAAGAGGCTCTCATCTGCACCAGGAGGACGGAGAAAGCAGAAACCAGGCTCAGGATCCACAGAAGATGCAACTCCAACCAAGGCAGGTCTACTGTGCCAAGGCCAGGGCCCTGGTTAGAAGAGAGCGCAACCCTGTGGCCTGACACAGTGGCTCACGCTTGTAATCTCAGCACTTTGGGAGGCCGAGGTGGGTGGATCACGAGGTCAAGAGTTAGAAACCAGCCTGGCCAACGTGGTGAATCCCTGTATCTACTAAAAATATGAAAAACCAGCCTGGCCAACATGGTGAATCCCTGTCTCTATTAAAAATATGAAAATTAGCCAAGTGTGGTGGCATGCACCTGTAATCCCAGCTACTCAGGAGGCTGAGGCAGGAGAATCACTTGAATCCGGGAGGCGGAGGTTCCAGTGAGCTGAGATCGCACCACTGTACTCCAGCCTGGGTGACATAGCGACACTCTGTCCCCCTACCCCTTGCCAAAAAAAAAAAAAAAAGGAGAGAGAGAGAGAGAGAGTACAACTCTGACACACAGGCTGGGAACATTTAGGTTGAGGTCTCTACAAACGATGGACTCTCTATATCCCCACTGAGCCCTCTGAGCTGGCAGGAATGCCGCCCCTGCCGCTAAGGGCTGGCACTCCCTCCCTCCTTGCCTGGACACTGTGCAGAGGCCTCTCCCCAGCCAGACAACACGTCCCCGGCTCAGGCTCTGCCTTGTCTGTCCTCCTGGTCATTAGGCCAATGACTAGGATGAAGTCACAACAGCAACCAGCTGTGGGCATGTTGAGCCTGGTGAGGAAAGATGGGGCTATACCCCAAAGGAGCTGTAGGACCTACCCAGCACAGGTCTGCAGGAACATGGGACTGGAATCCAAGGGTGTCTGGTCAAGGAGGTCAGAAGGTAAGGTTAGATAAGGGAGTATTTATCAACTTGGGAGAACTCTCCCAGGATACAGGATTTAATACTCTCACCAGTGTCCCAGGAGATGGTGCAAACTCACTGCAGATGATTCCTAGAAACATGGGAAAAAGCAGCGGCCAGCATGAAGTGAGAACTGCTGGAGCAGACGGTAGGCCCTTGGCACTTAGGCTCAGAGAGGTGGGCCCACCAGAGGAGGTGTGCCATGTAAGGCTGGAACTCCCAGAGGCCTGTGCTGCACACAGGACCCAGATGATAACCCACTTACCAAGGCTGTTAGGAATGGATCACTTAGAAATTCAGTGATGGCTCCTCTCTGGGGACCAGGGCTGGCAGGAGGAATTGCCACTGTACAACCAGGCTTACTCACAGAAATGATCCCAAGGACCTTGGAAAACTAGAAGCCATCTACCTTAGTGCTGCTGTAACAAAATGCCATAGGCTGGGTGGCTTATAAAGAAATTCATTTCTAACAGTTCTGGAGGCCGGGAAGTCCAAGATCAAAGTAGATTTGGTGTCTGCTGAAGGCCCACTTTCTGGCTCATAGATGGTGCCTTCTCACTGTGTCCTCAGAGTGTAGAACAGGCAGGGCAGCATGCTGGGACATCTTTTCATTAGGGCACTAGTCCCATTCATGAGGCTCCACCTTCATGACCCAATCGCCTTCCAAAGGCCCCACCTCCTGATACCCTCACATTGGTGGTCAGGTTTCAACGTATGAATTTTGGGGAGACACCAACATTCAGACCATGGCACCATCAGAAGGCAGGAAGATGTCATTGTGGTGAGTGGTAGGGTAGAGAGGAGGCCAGGGGAGCCTGACCTACAGAGACCTGTGGAGTGAATAGAACTTGGCACCCCTAGGGGCCACATAGATATGGAGCCAACAAGGATACTACTGTATCTGCATAATCAAAAACAGCACGGATGGATGGCTGGGAAGCTAAGGACAGTCACCTTAATTTAAAAAAAAGTAAAAATCCCTTCCCCAATGTCCATCCCTGAGCAAGTTCTTGGACGTGGAAACTTGATTGACAGAAAGCCTATGTCCCCAGGAGGAAGAACCCCATGACTGCACACAGCGAGGATTCCTCCATTTCTTCCCAACGTTACTCAGGTAACTGTGTACTGGGGAAGGGGAAACCCAGAGCATTAGCATGGCCCCTCCTAAGGGAGCCAGGTGATAAATGGAGTTCTAGCTTAGGTCCAGCTCACCCACAGTCCAAGGTCCCACCCTCAGTGGTCTCCAAATGTATAACTGTAATTGACATACTTAGTAATTGACACAAGCCCTTTATCCTGTGAGGTAAGAGCTATCATAGTGGGGAAATCCAAGTGGAAGCCTCTGAAACTCCCCCTTCTGGCCAAGATAGCAAATAAAAAGCAGTATTACATCCCAGGGGATGGCAAAGATGAGTGCTGTTCTTAAAGATCTAAAAGATGCATGGATGATCATTCCTATTATAGTCCCATTTAATTCACCAGTCTGTTCCCCATGGAAACTACCAGAAGTGCAACAACTAGTAGCCCCATTGCAGCTTCCTTGCTAGGTGTGGTATTGCTGCTAGAGAAGATTAATATGAATTCAGGGAGCCAGGCGAAATGGCTCATGCCTACAGTCCCAGCATTTGGGAGGCTGAGGTTGGTGGATCATTTGAAGTCAGGAGTTTGAGACCAGCTTGGTCAACATGATAAACCCCATCTCTATTAAAAATAACAAAAACTGGCCAGGCATGGTGGCTCACGCCTGTAATCCCAGCTACTCAGGAGGCTGAGGCAGGAGAATCACTTCACCTGGGAGGCAAAGGTTGTGTGAGCCAAGATCACGCCCCACTGCACTCCAGCCTGGGTGACAGAGTGAGATTCCATCTCAAAAAAAATTGAATTCAGGTACATGTTATGAAGCCATTAATCTGGTGAATATGCTCATTTCCATCTCAATCAAGAAAGAGAATCAGAAAGAGTTCACATTCACATGGAAGGGACAACAGTATACATTCACAACTTTCATCAGAGCTCTGTCATGACCATCCAAAAAGATCTGGATCATCGGACATCCTGCAGAACATCACACTGATCCAGTACACTGATGTCATCATGCTGATCAGGCAGATAGACAAGCGGTACCTAGCATGCTGGAAGCCAAAGGGTGAGAGAGAAAACTACTGAAGATCGAGAGGCCACCACATTAGTAAAATTTCTAGGAATTCAATGGTCTGGTGAATACTGGGACATACCTACAAAGCAAAGATAAATTATTTAATCTTTTACCTCCCACCATGAAGAAGAAATCCTAACACCTGATAGGTAGATCTGGAGGCAACATATTTCATAGCTAGGAATACTGCTCCAACCCCATATGCCAATGCCATGAAAGGCTGCCAAGGCCCAGAGCAAGAAAGGATTCTGCAAAAGTGTCAGGCTGCTGGAGCCATCAACCCCATCCCTTGAGCCATACAGTACTCAGCAGACCCTATGGTGTCAGCCATGTGAGTGATAGGAAGAGATGCCAGTGAAGAATGCAAGCTCCAGTGGGAGAATCCCTTAGGATCTGGAGACTCCCTAAAATTTGGGAGTGAATTACAATTAGCAGCAAAGGATTATTCACCTTCTGAAAACAGGTCCTGGTGTGCCTGTGCTACTAGCCCTCATGTGACACACAACACCCAGACATGAGACACCGAGTGATCAGGCAGCTGGAACTGCCTGTCATGAGCTGGGTCTGCCAGACCCAATCAATCAATCTAACATGGTGGGGACATCCCGGGTCAAACATGAGCACGCCTTGAGGACACCAGCAAGCTACACGGCAGGTAGCCCAGACCCCACATCATCCCCACTGAGGCACCAGCAGCCTCAGCTCATTCGAATGGCCACATGGGGGACTCCCATGTCACCAGCTGAAGAGGATAAAACTGAGATTGGTTTGGCTTGGCATGTGGCAGATGACTACATTGGACCCTCTCCTGAAAGATCAGGAATAGAGACCAGTTCCAGATAGAGATTTGCCTTTCCTGCCCATGGATTCTCTGCTCAAGGGTCTATGAAGTGTTTGATTCACTGGCACAGGATGCCACATAACATCACTTCTGACTCAACAGCCCATCTTATAGCAATAACCCTGCAGGGGCGGGAGTGGGCTGGCCCATGACCAGGGATCCACTGTTAATACTGCACACCACATGACCCCAAAGCTGCTGGCCCGATGAAGACAGAGCTGCAATGCCAGTTCAGAAACAAGCCTTCACAAGGTTTCAGTACCATCCTCCAAGATGCAGTATCACTTCAAATCAAATACTATATATGGCACTGCATCCCCACTGGGCAGAATACACGGGTCTAGGAACCTAGGGGTAGAAGCTTAAGTGGCCCAGTGGCCCACTTAAAGAATTTGTGCTTTCTGTCCCTCAACTCTGGGTTCCGTAAGTTTAGAGGTCCTTGTTCCCAAAGAGAAAATACTTCTGCAAGGTGGCACAGCCAGAGTCCCTCAAAGTCGAAGCACAGTCGCCTCCTTGGCACTCTGGGTTTCTTGTCCTTGCATCAAGGGGCCAGCGGTAAGAAGAGGAGTCGCATCCTGGCATCCAGAAGCGGTTGCATATGGGGTCTGGGAGGAATATGTTTGACATCCAGGCGATGCCCTTGGGTGCTTCTTGGTACTCCCTTGCCCAATTTTGATGTTAAGTTGACAAGTGTAGCAACCCTGGCCTGAAAATAGCATGGTGACCAGGGTCTCAGTTCCCTCAGGTAATCAGGAGACCAACAGAGATGTCGTCTGAGAGTGAGGTGGTCTATAATGGGTAGTGGAGTGGGCAGGTGAGGATGTCAGTTGCAGCCCTGAGACCCCAAAACTTCAGAGGTAGGGGTTGGAGTTCATCCCAGTAATTTTCCTCTTCAAGTTGCCTCCTAGAAGAGCTTCTCGCAGAACTTACATGAAGTGGATCCAAGAGGTGACTGTGAAGGACTCTGTAAGGTGCCACCCAGGTCCCTCTGCAGGAATAAAGGACTTATTACCCCAGCTGCTGGGAGTACTGCCTGCAGAAAGTTGACAGCCCTCATGCTCCATTCCCAGGGAGGCCTACATCCAATGACCCAATGTGGGGTCCCTGGCACCAATGTGGGGTGCCAAGTACCCGAACTTTTGCTTTGACTCGGGACAGTCCTGAGGGGTCATCCCATCCTCAGGCCAGCTGAGGCTTCTGCTGAGATAGCATCATAGGTCAGCCTCCCCCTTTGCCCAGCCTGCTCCTCCCCGCTCCCTTCCAATGGTATTGACTTCAGGAGCACTGGCCAATGAGCCCCAACACACTTCATCTCAGAGACCTGCCCAAGCTCATACTTAGACCTGAAGTGGCAGAAACAAACCTCAGACTCACTGTGGCTGTCCAAAGCCCAGAGATTGGAAAGGTTAGCACGTGCAGGACTCAGAAGTGAGAAACAGAGCAGATACCTTGGATGCAATGAAGATTTGAACTCCATACAAGGAATGATAGTCTAATTACCTTAGGCTGCTTGTGATGTTGCTCAGTTTCTGCTCACAGGATGGGGAAGGGGAGATATTCCAGAAGAACAGAGCAGCCCCCTCACCCATCTCAGGCTTGGGGGTCATTCAGATCTGAGAATGTCAGAGCTTTCACTTCCTAGCTGTGGGGCCTTGAGCAAACCGCTCCACCTCCCTGAGCCTCAGTTTCCCCCACTCCAAACTGGAGCCAATAAGATGCACCTGTGATTCTTGCGTAGATCACATTTGCAGGGCTCCTCGTGCACAGAAATCTCTCGGTAAATGTGGCCATTATTATTCAAGAGCCGAGGAGCTAATTAGCTTCACTGCTGATGCAACAGGAATTCACAGTGCGGGGACTGGCCTGCCGAAGGGAGGACGAGGCTGGAACATCTCATTTTGACAAATGGCTTTTGTTTACCCACGACTGGCAAACAAACGCTCCACGACGTGCGGCTAATCACCTAAAAATAACAGCACATATGTTCCCTCTGAGGAGTGTTCCTTGCTAACAAGCACAGCGGCCGTGGGCTGCTGGGGGTGGGGTGGGGACACCCTGCACTCCTCTGAGGCAAATTCAAAAGCCTCTCTCTCTGCCCCCAGCCGTCCTCCTGCACCCCACATCCATCCTGCTGCCCAGCCCTGTCCGCAGCGCCACACACAAACCACCCTCCCTTGTGTCTCCCTGCACCACCCCCCACCAAGTCCCCGGCTGCTGTGCTGGGGCAGGGCTGGTGCCACAGTCCCCTTTCTGCCCTCCTGGCCTTGCTCCATCCCCTCCACCCTGCCCCGGAGGCACCCTTCTAAAACACACACATCTGACTAGTCACTCCCCTTCTTGGAACTCCTCATGGCTCTCTCTGCCTCCAGGCCATGCCGGTCTCATTTCCCACACTACATGGGCCTGACTATCAGTGTGCACCAGGGCCTTCCAGCCTCCAGGCCTCTGCAGATGTTGGAGTAGGGCTGCTTCTCTACCTACACACCTCCTCTGCCCTCGGGCAGGTGCTCAGCTCTAAATGACATCCAAGCTGATGACGAATGAATGAGTTCTCTCTGAACTCCTGCCCACTGCATGTCTCCTCCTGGTTGTCCAGTGGGCATCTCTGAACCGTGTCCAAAAGCACACGCAAACACACACACACAATCCTCCTGCAATCTTATCGGTTGCTCAGGCCAAAAGCCTTGGAGTCCTCCATGTCCCCCACCTGCCATCCCACAACCAACCCATTAGCAAATGGGGTCAGCTGTCTTCAAAACACATGCAGACTCCCCTCAGCACCTGCACACTGCCTCCTGGAGCCTCCATCCCACCTCTCACCTCCAGCGGCTCCCCCCCTTGCCAGCCACAGTCCGCTCACGCCCCAGGACCCTTTAAAACTGGTCACGCCCCGTCTCTCCTGCACCCCAAAGCTTCCAGTGACTTCCATCTCAGAGTAAAGCCAAAGTCTTGTAGAGGCCACAGCTAGGGTGGCCAGATTTCACAAACAAAAAGGCAGGATGCCCGTTAGGTTTGAATTTCAAGGACATGTTAAGTGAAATAAGCCAGACACAGAAAAACAAATACCACGTGATCTCACATGGACAGGCGAACTCTGAAAAAGCCAAATTCATTGAAGCAGAAAGTAGAATGGTGGTTACCAGAGGCTGGCGGACAGGGAGTGAGAATTGGGGAGCTGTGGGTCAAAGGACACAAAGTTCCAGTTAGGGAGAATAAGTGAAAGAGCCCCATGGTACGTCGTGGCAGCATAGCTAATGACAGTGTACTGCATTCTTGAAAATCGCTAAGAGTAGATTTTAAGTGTTCTCACCACAGGAAAAAAAAAAACAAGGTGGAAAGTAATGCATATGTTAATTAGCTCAATTTAGTCATCCCATAAATGTATACATATTCCAAAACATCATATTGTAGGCCATAAGAATATGCAATTTTTATTGGTCAATTAAAACAATGTTTTAAAAAGAAGAAAGGGATATTAGGAACTAAAAATCTTTTTTTGAATTTCAGAGAAAGGCAAACTTGCGTGGGACACACTTATACTAAAAAATTATTTGCTGCTTATCTGAAATTCCAGTGTAACTGGGCATCCTGTAATTTTCCAGCAGCCAGACCTACAAAGCCTGAGATGACCGGGGACACCCCCGCACCCCATCGTACCTCACGCCCCCCACCTCCCCTGCAGCTTGGGTGTCCTGCTTTTCCCGGAGCCCAGAGAGAGTTCCTCCACTTCAGGAATGCGTCCTGCCATCCCCTCTGCTCCTGGTATCCCTGTGGGCCACTCCCCTGGCCCCTGCAGATCTCTGCCCAGATGGCATCTCTCGCCGAGGCCTGTCCTGACCAGCCGGTACAAAACAGCAGCCCTGTCACCGCCCCTTCACCGCTCGGTGGCTTCTATGACCTTCCACCAGAAAGCCGTCTCCTTGAAGGCAGAGTTTCATCTCTGCTGTCCACAGCTGTGTCCCCACACTGACGACAGTGCCTGGCATGTAGTAGTTAGTCAATAAATATTTTTCAAATAAATGATGTCCCTACTGCCCCACCCCAGGCCACCGGCAAACTCCTTAAACCACAAGGACAGCTTTGTGGCCTCTCCTCTGCAAAGCTCTCCCTGACCACACGCGTGTCCTCCAGGCAGGAAGAGCCTCCTCACTAGCCGAAGAGTCCCTCCGAGGTAGCGATGGTGTCCCATCCACCTTTCTATCCCCAGTGCCACATCGATGCCAATGTGAGAGGTGCTCGGTACACGTGTGAGTGGATGACTCAATGAATGAATATCTGAGTGAGTGAAGAAATGAAGAGCATAGGAACCAAGCAAAACTATCTCTAAGGCTCCCTGCGGGAGCTGGTTTGATTCCTGTTGCCCCTAAAGGAAGACTTTTGATATTTATCCCCACTCGGTAAAGAACAATGAAGAAGGAGGAGATGGTGAAGATGCCCTTCGCTCCCCTCTAGTCCACATTCTACAAAATGTGTCCACCTCATTCCATGATCCTCTCACCAGCCTGAGAGGCAGCTATCATCACCCCATAGTTGAGATGAAGAAACACAGAGGCCCAAAGACAGGAAGCGAGTTGCTGGAGCCACAGGGAGAGGGGAGAGGAGATGCAGCTGGGACCCGGCCCCAGCCCATCCAGCCCTGAAGGCCTCCATGCCTCGCTGCCTCTCCAGCCTGCCCAGGGTTTCGGTGACTCAGTGACCCATGCAGGCCCCCCAAGCAGGGAGGAGGGAGAAGTCAGGCTGCACAAGAGGACAGGGACCCTGCCCAAGGCAGAGCTGCTTTGCCCCCTCTTCCCCTCAGGCATCCCGGGGACCCGGCCTGGTTGTCCACCCACATATGCACGGCTCTCTCTGTCTTGGACCACGGTACCATCACCCACACCAGCTTCTGAGCCAGCCCTCCATAGGCGTCTGCCCTGAATCATTGCATTTGTCTCAGAAGATTTTTGATATTAATGTCATTCTGCACTAATGAGTCCAGCCCACTTGGTCCCAGCTGGAGCTTCCATTGTCTGCTGATTAATTGGTACAGAACTCTGGGGGGTAGCAGGGGGAGGTGGGGGAAGAGAAAGGGAGAGAAGAGCCATTTCCAGAGCAGAAATAGGTTTCCTCTGCTCACCAGTGACTATTCTCCTTATCCTGAAGCCTTCAGCTAGGTATGGGGCAGAAACTAGAGGGCCACTCCCTCCTCAGCCACTTAACTGTCCCGCTTCAGGAAAAGTGAGACCCATGGATACTGTCCCAGCGTACGAAGGTAGGTCTGGAGGAAAGCACAAGTTAAGAACTGGTAGACTTGAGCCAGTGCAGTGGCTCACGCCTGTAATCCTAGCACTTCGGGAGGCCCAGGCATGTGGATCACTTGAGGTCAGGATTTTGAGACCAGCCTGGCCAACATGGTGAAACACCATCTCTACTAAAAATACAAAAACTAGCCGGTGTCATGGTGCATGCCTGTAGTCCCAGCTACTCGGGAGGCTGAGGCAGGAGAACTGCTTGAACCCAGGAGGTGGAGGTTGCAGTGAGCCGAGATTGCGCTGCTGCACTCTAGCCTGGGTGACAGAGTGAGACTCCATCTCAATTGGTAGACTTGGATTCTGACTCATCCCAGCTCTGCTCGCTGTTGCCCTGGGCAAGTTGCTGGCCTCCCCAAGCCTCATTTTCCATCTGCAAAATGGGGGACAAAAGTCCCACCAAAGCACAGAGATGAAAGCTCTTGGATTTGACAACTTGGCTTTCAACTCCATATCTTCCATTTAGTGGGGCTGCGTGGCCTTGGGCAAGCTGCCTAACCTCATGTGCAAAATGGAAATATTAACAGCACCCACCTGATGGGGCTGCAGTGAGGACTGAAGGAGAAATGAGGAAGGTGCAGTGCTTGGCCTGGCGCTTAGCAGGATCAGTAAATAGAGGCTATTGTTACCACGTCTGGAAATAGCCACCTGATTAAACAAAGCCTGTGACTCTACTTGGTGGAATATTATGCAGGCACCAAAAAGGATACACAGTAGATGGTGCAGCCCAGGAAATGCCTATGTCCAAATGCCTTCTTCACTAGATCTCTTCAAGGGAATAATTATCTCCATTGACAGAAGGGATAGCTGAGGCTCACAGAAGGGGCCTGAATGGTCCCAGGTCACAGAGCAAGTAAATAGCTGAGCTGGGAATTGAACACAGGGAAAACCTGTCTCGAAATGCAGACTCCATCCTCTTTGTCACAATTCCTGCACATCATATTTTAGAAATTGATTTGCTCAAGTCAGGAGCCTGCAGGCATTTCATTTTGGTTTCTGTCCAGGTGATCATGATGTTTTTTGCCATTGATAATTATTTTTTAAGGCAGATAATAATGTTGACCTGCACTCCCCACCTGGCTGATGTGCAGAGCAAAGGAGCTCAAAGCTGTGTGTGGGATCTGGCAACAGGACAGAGCATGTGAGCAACAGTTAACATCATTCCAGGACTGGGGTGGCTTAGCTTAATACTACACAGTCATTCATTCATTTATTCTACAAGCATTTATTGAGCCTAAAGGTACATGTTCTGGGCTCAGAGGACACAGCAGGGAACCAGAGAAATGACATATTCCTGCCTTCTTAGAGCTGACATCCCTGGGGAAAAGACATACACTAGACAAGTAAACAGACACAAATACTAGAGAGGAAAATAAAGCAGGATCAGGGCATGGGGGCATGGGGTGACGCTCCTTTGTTCATGGTGTCATGGAAGGCCTCTCTGGTAAGGTGCCATAGGAGGCTAAGGTTCAAACAAAGAAAGGAGATAAACCATGATATCCAAGGGAAAAGCATCTGGGCAGAGAAACAGCAAGTGCAAAGGCCCTTAGTCTGTTGGGGCTGCTCTAACAAAATACCATAAAATGGGAAGCTTATAAACAAGTAATTGACTTCTAACCATTCTGGAAGCTGCGAAGTCCAAGATCAGGGCACCAGCAGATTCGGTGTCTAACGACAGACAGCTTGCTTTCTGGTTCCCAGATGGCACTTTCTCACCATGTCCCCACACAGTGGAAAGGACAAGGTGGGCCTCTTTGATGAGGGCACTAATTCCATTTGTGAGGGCTCCACCCTCATGACCTACTCACCTCCCAAAGGCCCCCTTCCTAATACCCTCACACTGGGGATTAGGTTTCAACATAGATTCAGAAGGACACAGTTGGACCACAGCAGGCCCTGAGGCTGAATTATACCTGTGAAGTTCAGGAAACAGCAAGCAGGCCAGTGTGGCTGCAGCGAGTAGGGGAAGGAGGTGGGGAAGGGGTGTGGTGGGCAGCAGATGCTACAGGGCCTCACAGGCCACTGTAGGAACTTCAGAATTTACCATTCAGCATGAAGGATCTGGCTTGTCATTCTCTCATTGGTTGTATTATTTGCATTTTCTTTACCCAACAATTTCCCATTTCTGACCAGATAAAATCTGAACTCCCAGATGTGGCATTCAAAGGCTTTCAGAGTAAGGGGAGGACAGGGAGGTGCTCAGTACCCCACCTCACTTTCCAGCCTCCTGTCCTGCCGCTCCCCACCATACATCGTCACCGCCCCCCTCCCCTCACTACCCTCTGTCACACCTCTGTGCCTTTGCCCATGCAGGGCTCTCTGCCTGCCTTCATTCAGGCTGACACTCAAATACTTGAGGAGCACCTCCCGAGTGCCAGGCCCTAAGGGAGGGGCTGGAGAAATAGTGGTGAGCAAAACTGTCCCTGTCTCTGCTCATCTGGCATCTAGCAGAGAACAGCAACACTAACCTGGTAGGTGGGGAACTGTGGGCCGTGGCAACGGCCACTCTGGAGTGAGGGTAGACAGGGAGGCCCTGAAGAGGGAGTGTGGAAGCTGAGACACAAGAACGAGCAGCAGTCAGCCCAGCAAAGAGGTGGGAAGAATGACTAGCCCCCTTGAACAGCACAGCAGAGGGAGGAGGGAGGGAGAAAGAGGGCAGAGCTCGCCTCACCTGAGCCAGGCCGGGAAGGGAGCTCAGCAAATAGGCAGCGCCCGCCAGGCTCAGCGGCAGGTAAACAGGACTCTGTGCCACACCTGCTGCCCCCTCACCGCCCGCAGCCGCACAGGGATCAATATTTGCCTACAGACCTGTCTTGCCTGATGAGTGTTTGGGCATCCGCCAGGCAGGCCTGGCTGGAGGGGAGCTGGCAAGAAGCAGGACAGTCCTGGGGGATTCCAGCGCCTCACTGCCTGTAGCCCTGAGATGTGGGACCCAGACCAAGAAGAACCACAGCCAGGAGCCATGGGCAGGGCATCACCAAAGTCCTTCACTACTGCTCCAGCGGGGTTAGGAAGGCCTGATGCCAGGAAACCAAGGATAGAGTGACCCCAAAAAGGGCAGCCCACCTCCACACCTGACCACAGCTGCCGACCGCAGAGCAGCCGCTGCCTGTGTCCCCCACCCTTTCTCACTCACTTCTCCTCCTTCTTCTAAATACACTAAATGCATGCCGGGAATAAATTAATTCTGTATCAGATAGTTGAGAGAACTGCAGAATTATACATCTCCACCTTGTACCTTCTGAATTTTTGTGCATTATTGGGTATTCAAATGAGTAAACAAATAGTAAGGTGCTTATTTTCATAATTTTAAAAAATCAAATTGTAAAGATTAATTCATTGAAAACGAAGTCCCCTGACCCCCTAATTCTACTTCACAACTTATCTTCATCTTAACTCTGGTAAGATTTCATTTTCAGCATAAATAGCATCATATCACACATCCGGTTCTCCCCTAACGACATGGTATACCCTGGGCACCTTTCCACCCCCACACATCTGGGGCTACCTCATTCTTTTTTGCAGCTAAAATGTTTTCCATGTCTTGGATGTACTGGGGTTCGTGTAGACCCATTTTGGTGGACATTTGTTTCCAGTTTTGTTTTGTTTTCTTTCAGTTTTGGTTTTGGCTATTAAAAATAATTCTCTACTGGACAGTCTTTTACTTGCATCTCTGCGTATTTGTTGGAGTTTCTTTGTAGAATACATTCTCAACTGGAGGGCAAATGGCTTGTACACTGTTTACATTTCACAGACATTGCCACAGTGCCCTCCAAAGAGGCTGTGCCCCTTCCCCTCCTACTGCCTCAGCCCAGGAAAGAGACTATTTCCCTGCCCTCAGCTGTCAGGAAACCTTTAGCTCTTTGACAAACTCATGAGTGAAAGATGATAGCTGTTTTATTTGTATTTCTTAATTATTAGTGAAGTTGGTATCTTTTAGGGCTAAGTCATTTGCATTTTTTGATGAATCGCCTCATTATACACTTTACACCGTTTCTTTAAAGGGGTATTCTTTCCTTATTTCATTTCAGCGATGTTTTAGCACCTACTCTGTAGTGGTTTACCACCCCCTTGTGAAACAGGATAGAGTGTGTCTGCACGGAAGCAGGGGGCAGAAGCAAACAAGAGTTCCTGTGTGGGGCATTCCCAACACAAAAGAGAGGTCATCAAGCCTTGAATCTGGTGAGACTTGAAGCATCTGATTACAAATGGACTGAGCCTCCATTTCCTTATCAGTAAAACAGAAAAATACAGTAATTCCTGTCCCTTGGTGAAAAAAAGCACAAAACCGTATGTGTAGGTCAGAATACCAGTCAAAACTGACATAAACCAAAAGGGAACTTATTGGTTCATGTAACTAAAAGCTCCAACTTCAGGCATGGCTGGATCCAGGTGCTCAAACACCATCAAGCATCGTCTGGCTCTCTCCACATTTCAGCTCTGCTTTCCTCTGTGTTAGCTGCATTCTCAACCTAGAGATACTGAGATAGCACCCAGGAGCTCCAGACTTATATCCTATTGATTCAACTATCCACGGAGAGCAGCTCCAGCAAAAACCCAGGGATTCGCTGTGATTGGTCTGGACTGGGTCATGCATCCATCCTCAAGCTAATCACTGAGGCTTGGGTGATAGACGATATAGATTCACCAGGCCTGGAGCTGAGGGATGAGAATGAGTCCCATATGAAGCATGTGGCCTGAGCAGGAAGATGAGGAAATTCAGCTGCTGTTACCAAAAGAAAGGACAGGATAAAACTATAGATGTCCCTCTGCGAGATTTTAGCCCTGCCTCAGCTATGTGACCCTGGACAAATTATTTCTCCTCTCCAGCCCTTGAGTTCCCTACCTGTAAGATTCTGACTTCAAACTCAATTGCTGATTTTGATACCTTTTGTAGCAGAAAACTTTTTTACTTTTCAATAAACAATACATGGAACCCAAAACACAGAACAGATAAGAGCTGTATTTTATTAGAAATGTTACTTGTGTTTAATTTTTATTTTACTTTACGCTCTGGGATACATGTGCAGAACATGCAGGTTTGTTACATAGGTATACATGTGTCATGGTGGTTTGCTGCACCTATCAACCCATCATCTAGGTTTTAAGCCCCACATGCATTAGGTATTTGTCCTAATGCTGTCCCTCCCCTGGCCCCTCACCCCCCAACAGGCCCCGGTGTGTGATGTTCCCCTCCCTGTGTCCATGTGTCCTCATTGCTCAACTCCCACTTATGAGTGAGAACATGCGGTGTTTGGTTTTCTGTTCCTGTGTTAAGTTTGCTGAGGATGATGGTTTCCAGCTCTATCCATGTCCCTGCAAAGGACATGAACTCATTTTTTATGGCTGCATAGTATTCCATGGTGTGTATGTGCCACATTTTCTTTATCCAATCTATCATTGATGGGCATTTGGGTTGGTTCCAAGTCTTTGCTATTGTAAATAGTGCTGCAGTAAACATACCTGTGCATGTGTCTTTATAGTAGAATGCTTTATCATCCTTTGGGTATATACCCAGTAATGGGATTGCTGGGTCAAATGGTATTTCTGGTTCTAGATCCTTGAGGAATCACCATACTGTCTTCCACAATGGTTGAACTAATTTACACTCCCACCAATAGCGTAAAAGTGTTCCTATTTCTCCAAAGCCTCGCCAGCATCTGTTGTTTCCTGACTTTTTAATAACCTCCTTCCTAACTGGCGTGAGATGGTATCTCATTGTGGTTTTGATTTGCAAAAAATGTTATTTGTTTGATCCAGTATTAGTCAGGATAGACCAGAATCTGCTGTAATAAATAAACCCCAATATCTCAGTGGCTTAACACACAAAGGTTTGCTTCTTGCTCCTGTCACTGTTCGGTGCAGGTCAGGGAACTCTTCTTAGCAGATCTTCTCTACCCCTCAACCAGTGGTCCAGAGACCCACCCTCCCACCATCTGTGGTTCTGCCATGATACAGCTCTGGCCTCTGTGTAAGGGGAAGAAGCCACAAACTCCATGTCTGCCCACATCCCAGGGGCCCTCAGCATCCAGTCACAGGCCTCTATTCAAAGGCAAGAAACTCTGGGAAATGTAATCTTCCTCTACTGGAAAAGGAAAATGACACTGTATGTTCTATAACATTTACTTATTATAAGGTCAGTCATTGAGAACAATGAGGTTGTTTTGATAGATCAAAAAGAATAAGAAATTCCGCTGGGCGTGGTGGCTCACGCCTGTAATCGCAAAACTCTGGGAGGCCGAGGCGGGTGGGTCGCTTGAGGTCAGGAGTTTGAGACCAGCCTGGCCAACATGGTGAAACCCCGTCTCTACCAAACATACAAAAATTAGCTGGGCGTGGTGGTGGGCGCCTGTAATCCCAGCTACTCGGGAGGCTGAGGCAGGAGAATGGCTTGAACCACTGCACACCAGGCTGGGTGACAGAACGAGACTCTGTCTGAAAAAACAAACAAACAAACAAAGAAATTAGATATCATGGATGACAGATTTAGTCATGTCTCAACCTCAGCACTGACTTTAAGCTTCAAAACTTTTAAACTTTTTAAAGTTGCAAATATATTAAGAAAATCCCAGGTCAACAAGTAATAGCAGTTGAAAATCCTAGCAGTATTTAGAACCTTGCTTTGCTTGCAATTTTTAGGGTCCTCTTTACTTGTACAGAGATAGCAGGACAAACTTCAGTGTCAAACTTACTGACAACTGAGTTAATGGCAGAAGAAACTGTGCTGGCCATCTCCAGATGCTAACATTTAGTATGCAATATATCCAAGGGTTTTTGTTCTGTTTATTACAATGCTCAAATCCATATTTCAAATGTGAAGCTCAAATACAGTGTTTGCGGAGGGCTCTGTTCTGGAGCGCACAGTGCCAGAGGACCTTTGGGTTTCATAATGCATATGCATCTAAGCAGAGAATGGCTGGGTGTCCTCAGGCAAGACGTTTCCCCTCATTAGGCCTTGGTCTTTTCATCTATAATAGGGAAGGCTCAGCAAACCCCAGGGCCTCGACCAGAAAACAAATAAACAAACAGACCACACACAAACACACAAAGATCCTTTGCTTTTGGTGAAGGCATCTGCCACGTTGTGACAATGCTCAGGTAGACTAGATCGGGCAACGGAGAAAGAACCTCAGGCTTCCAGACATCAGCCACTGAACAAGCCTGGAGACGTCTGCTTCAGCTGGAAGCTTTATTGCAACCTCATGAGAGACTCTGAGCCAGAACCATCCAGCTAAGCTGCTTTCAGATTTCTAACCGTCGGGCACTGTGAGATAAAAATATTTGTGGTGTTAAATGCTATGTTTTGGAGTATTTTGTTACCCAGCAGCAGATAACTAATACAGATGATAAAGGGAATGATTTCATCTTCTTAGGTGTGATACTGGTGGTGTGATTATGCAGGAGACTGCCCTTATTTTTAGGAGTTTCAGGCCAATGTAGTTAGTGATTTAGTGGTGAAATGTCCTGATACCTCTACAATTTAGTTTCAAATGGTCCAGCAAATATATAAACATGGCAGGCGTGCGTGCACACACACACACACACACACTCACACACACAGTTCCTGAATCCAGGTGCTAAGTATACAAATAATCATTGTATCATTCTTTTAACGACTCTGTATCTTTGAAAATTCTCACAATAAAAACTTAAAGAATTTCTGCTTCTAGCCAAGATGAAGTAACAGAATCTTGATTTATCCTACCACTGAAAACAACCAAGAAACCATTAAAAATATATGAAATAGGCCAGGGAACAGTGGCTCACACTTGTAATCCCAGCACTTTGGGAGGCCAAGGTGGGTGGATCACTTGAGGCCAGGAGTTCGATACCAGCCTGGCCAACATGGTGAAAACTCATCTTTACTAAAAATACAAAAATTAGCCCAGCATGGTGGCAGGTGCCTGTAATCCCAGCTACTTGGGAAGCTGAGGCAGAAGAATTGCTTGAGCCCAGGAGGCGGAGGTTGCAGGGAGCCAAGATCACACCACTGCACTCCAGCCTGAGCAACAGAGCGAGACCCTGTCTCAAATATATATATATACATATATCTAATATTTTATATATAAAATACATATATTTATATATAAATAAAATAATGAAATAGCAGTTTTCAAGACACTGGACACCAGACAACAACAAAGGACAGTGATCTCTGAGAGATGCAAAATAAGACAAACCCTGTAATTTTCCCCAATCACCGTATTAACAGAGATTCCCAACCATAACCCAGCGCAGGCGAACTGAGGCAGATCCCAGCAGACTCCCTATATTGAGGAGATAGAGCTTCTTCTCAATGTCTGCCTACAAACTCTTGTTTGTGTTAAAATCTTCCATTCATTGAAAGAAAACACTAACTGATGAATCATTTGGAAAGCAAGCTTCTTTTTACTTTCTGGGGCTGAATATCTCCATTGGCCTGTGGATGCATATGAGAGTAAGAAATTTCTTCTACTAGATTCTTCTTGATATCTACCTACGATCTCCCTTTTGTCTTAAGATTTTCCACTCCAGGAAGGGAGACAAAAGCAGAGTTTCTAGAGCAGATTGCAGAGAAAAGGTAACTGCCCAGAGAGAGAGCACCAGAAATCTGCAGTGGGTCTCCCTCATGGAAACGGCAGAGTATCGGTCAACTCATGTATGCAATAAAAATACCTGAGGCTAGGCCAGGCATGGTGGGCACACACCTACAGTCCCAGCTACTCAGGAGGCTGAGGTGGGAGGATCGCTTGAGCTCAGGAGTTCAAGACTGTAGTGTGTGATGATCATGCCTGTGAATAGCCACTGCACTCCAGCCTGGGCAACACAGTGAGAACTCATCTCTAAAACAAACAAAATATAAAAGAAACCTGAGGCTGTGGAAACAAACAAACAAACAAACATCTGAAAGGATTCAAAGCAGTAGTATCTCGCACTCACACAGGGCTAAGAACAGTGCTTACTGACACCAGGCGGACGTTAAAATCGAACAATTCACGGATCATTGGGTGGAGCACTCACAAGGGTCTTTCTTTAGTCATGTGGAATAATTAGTCCTAGACTAAGCATCGCTCTAAACCTTCCTAACAAATAATAAAAGCAAGACCCCAGGAAGATCAAACTATTTCCAAGTAAATTGCATTCCAGAGCAAATATTTATAAAAATACAAACATATTAAACACCTGACAAAGTAAAATTCACATATGGCATTCAATCATCAGGGATTATCAAGCATGCATAGAGGTGGCAAAAACACAAACTATAATGAGGACAATAATCAATAAATCAAACTGACCAAGAACTGACACAGATGTAAGAATTAGCAAAGAAAGGCTGGGTGCAGTGGCTTATGCCTATAATCCCAGCACTTTGGGAGGCTAAGGCAGGTGGATCATTTGAGGCCAAGAGTTTGAGACCAGCCTGGCCAACATGGCAAAACCCCATCTCTACTAAAAATACAGAAATAAGCTAGGTGTCATGGCAGGCACCTGTAATCCCAGGTACTCATGAGGCTGAGGTAGGAGAATGGCTTGAACCCATGAGGCAAAGGCTCCAGTGAGCCAAGACTGTGCCACTGCACTCCAGCCTGGGCAACAGAACAAGACTCCATTTCAAAAAAAAAAAAATCATCAAAGTACATTAAAACAGTTATGAAAATTATGCTCTATAAATTCAACATTAGGTAGAGATATGGAAGATATACCAAATACCCAAATCAAACTTCTAGAGATAAAATTTATAATGTTTAAGAGGAAAAATATATTGTATAAGATTAAGAGCAGATGAGACATCGCAGAAAAAAAGATTAGTGAACTTGAAGACATAGAAATTACCCATAATTACACAGAAGAAAAAAGAAAAAAATAAAAAGAGCATCAACAACTCTATGTCCAAAATTTAATAACTTAATTGAAATTGACCATTTACTTGAAGGACACAATCTACCAAAACTCACACAAAGAGAAATAGACAATCTGATAGGCCTGTATCTTTAACAAAATTTAACCAGAATTAATAACCTTCCAAAACAGAAAACATCAGGTCCAGCTGATTTCACTGGTAAACTGTACCACTTAAGGAAGAAATGATAATCCTCTATCATCTCTTCCAGAACACTTCTTAACTTATTCTGTGAGTCCAGCATTACCCTAATATCAAAACCAGATAAAGAAATTACAAGAAAGGAAGACTTCAGATCAACATCTTTCAAGAACATAAATACAAAAATCTTCAGCAAAACATTAGCAAATCAAATTCAACAATGTATTTTTAAAAAACTACATGCCATGGCTAAGTGGAATTTATTACAGGTACGCAAAGCTGATTCAAGATTCAAATGGCAGCAAAGATGGTGGAATGATCACGCTGCTGCAAACTGGCCTCTTGGCCAGGGGGCCAGCTGCTTTCTGGGAGGCCGAGTGTGTCTGTTGGACTGTGCAAGGAGAAGAAAAAAAGATATCAACCAGAGGAAAGGAATGGAATATTTTTCTTCCCTACCTTACAGCGGGGAGTAATAATCTACTCTAAAGCAAAGGTCTTAAGTAGGTGACTATAAACTATTGGAAATTTTATGCACAATTACACATTTTTGTAGAAAGAAGAAGGTCCATAATATCAGCAGATTCTCAAACAGGACAGTGTTCCGTAAAAGCTTGAGAACCGCTTCTCTGCGACTTCTGACATCTTTTTAAATTAACCCCAGTGCAGCTTCCTTAACACAGGAAGAACATCTTTTCTCGAACTTTAGGTGCCTTGATATGCATCTCAAAAAAAAAAAAATCTGAACTCGGGACGTGGCAAGTATCTCTATGTTGTCTCCTAAAGCGGGCAGTCCTGCTTCTTTTATCCAGTTACTTTCTCTGTTCTTGAAATGTGGTTGTCTCTTCTCTACACATTACCTCCATGGCTTGGAATGGAAAAGGCCACTTTTCTTTTTGTTCTACGTCTCAGATTCAACACAGAGATGCCCCTAGGATTGCAGTTATCCTGTCAACTTCTCCAGGAAGAAAAAAGCAACTAGCATAGGTTTTCTGCTGCTATTTCCTTAATTATAAAGACATTCTTTTGCAAGCTGAAGACTGATGTTTCATTTGAAACAGGGGCTTAGGTGGTAGTATTTGTGAATTATTTACTTTTTGTTCCAAACAAGAAGACTAAATAAACAGCAAGCATGGATAACTTCAGGGTTTTTTTAATGTCTTCTCATGTCAGCCATTATCACGAGACTACAGCAGTAAATTCCAAATATGTGGTTCTAATTTGAAATGAAAGATACTAAAAAGTTACATATATTTACATATCTAAATCCTGGCTCATCTTGTAACACGGATTTACTGAATAAGAACAAAGGTCCAATTTTGCAAGTAAACCTTTGATGTGATAAGCCTGAAGATAACGAAGTTAATTTCATATGCAATTAAAATCATCACAGTATCTGTACAGTTTTAAAAAACATTCAAAAGTCAATAAATATAATCTGTCACATCAAGAAGCTAAAGAAAAAAATCATATGCTCATATGAATAAATGGATAAAAAGCATTTGACAAAATCCAACCTCCATCTCGATAAAAATTCAGCAAACTAGAAATAGAGGAGAAATTCCTCAGTTTAATACAGAACATCTATAAAAAACCTACAGCTACTGTCGTACTTCATGATGAGAAACTGGATGTCTCCCCCTAAGATTAGGATGTACTCTCTCATCATTCCTATTCAACATTGTACTGGAAGTTCTAGCTGATGACCTAAGACAAGAAAAGGAGATAAATATACACAGATTGGAAAGAAATAAATGAAAACTGTCCTTGTTCACAGGTGACATGATTTTTATATAGAAAAATCCTAAAGAATTAACAAACCTGAACCAATGATCAATTATAGCAAGCTTGCCAGGATAAAAGGTTTATACATAAGTCAATTGTTTTCCTATATACCAGCAACGAACCACTGAAATTTGAAATTTCAAACACAATACCATTTATATTAGCATTAAAAAATACTTGGTTATGAATCTAATAAAATATGTATAAGATCTACATGACGAAAACTACAAAACTGATTAAAGATATCAAAAGAAATCTAAATAAATAGATACTTCATGTTTATGAAGAGGAAGACTCAATATTGCCAAGACGTCAGTTGATCTATAGATTCAATGCCATCCCAGTCAAAATTTCAGCAAGTTATTTTGTGGATTTTGACAAACTGGTTCTAAAATTTATATGGAAAGATGAATGACCCAGAATAGCCAACACAGTACTAAGGAAAAACAGTCAGGGGACCAATAATATCTGATTCAAGACTCACTGTAACGCTACAGTAATCAAGACAGTGTAGTATTAGTAAAAGAATAGATGAATAGATCAATGGAACAGAACAGAGACCAGAAATAGACCTATACAAGTAGTCAACTGATCTTTGACATAGGAGCAAAGGCAATTCAAGGGTAGCAAAGGCAATGGAGCAAGGGGTAGTGTTTTCAACAAATGGTGCCGAAACAAGTGGACATGCAACATCACATGCAGAAACAACAGGGAAGGAAGAAAGTAAGGAAGGAAGAAAGGAAGGGAGGGAGGGAGGGAGAGATGGAGGGAGGGAAGGTTCTAGACACAGACCTTACACCTTTCATAAAAATTTGCTCAAAATGAATCATAGACCTAAATGTAAACTACTAGAAGATGACATAGGAGAAAATCTAAATAACCCTGGGTTTGGCAATGACTTTTATTATACAACACCAAAACCCTGATTCATGAAAGAAATACTTGAAAAATTGGACTTCATTAAAAATTACAAACTTCTGATCTGAGAAAGTCCTTGATAAGAGAATGCAAAGACAAGTCACACAGTAGGAGAAAATATTTGCCAAACACATAAAAGACTGGCATCCAAAATATGTGAAGATCTTTTAAAACTCAACAATAAGAAACAAACAAGCCAAATTTAAAATGGCAAAAGATCTAAGCAGACATCTCATCAAAGAAGATACATAAATTACAAATAAACATAGAAAAGATGCTCAACATCATATGTCTTTAGGAAACTGCAAATCAAACCAACAATGGGATAGCACTATATACCATTTAGCAGAATGACTAAAAATCTGACAATACCAGAGGCTAACAAGGATCCGAGGCAACAGGAACTCTCAGGAACTCTCATTTATTGCTGGTGGGAATACAAAATGTTGCAGCCACTCTAGAAGACAATTTGGTAGTTTCTTACAAAATTAAACATTCTCTTACCATACAATCCAGCAACCATGTTCCTAGGTACTTAAGTAATTGGGTTGAACACATATGTCTACATAAAAACCTGTATATGAATGTTTATTATGGCTTTATTCATAATTGCCCCAAACTGGAAGCAACCAGGATGTCCTTCAATAGGTGAATGGTAAAAACAAACATATATACAATAGAATATTATTGATGGATAAAAAGAGATGAGCTATCAAGCCATAATAAGACCTGAAGGAAGTATAAATGAGTATTGCTAAATGAAAGAAATCAGTTTGAAAAAGGCTACATACTGTGTGATTCCAACTATATGACATTCTGGAAAAGGCAAATCTAGACAGACAATAAAAGATAGTGGTTTCCAGGGAGAGGGGAAGCAGGTACATTTAGGGGAAGCAGGTACATTTAGGGGAAGCAGGTACATTTAGGTGGAGCATAGGGGATTGTTTTCAAGGCAGAGAAATGATTCTGTATGATACTGTAATGGTAGATATATGATATCATCATTTGTCAACATACCTAGAATGTACAACACAAAGAGTGAACCCTAATGTAAACTATGGACTTGAGTTAGCAATAATGGATCAGTGTTGGTTCATCAATTGTAACTAATGTATAACACTAAAAAAGCTATAGGAAGGAGAGGGGAGAATGGACATATGGGAATTATCTACATGATTTTTCTGTACATCTAAAACTGCTCTAAAAAATAAAGTCTATTAATTTTAAAAAAGTATCAGTGAGTTGTGGGACAAGGTCAAGCAGCCTATTATGTATATAATTTGAGTCACCAAATAACAGGAGTGAGGTGGGGACAGAAAAAATATCTGAAGAAACAACGACCAAAAATTTTCTAAACTTGCCATAGATCTAAGAAGCTCAAAGAATCCAAGCACACACCCACACCAAAAAAAAAAAAGAAAAAAAAAAACTGAAGAAAATTACATGTTATAATCAAATTTGTAAAGACCAGTTAGCAAAAGAACATCTTAAAGGCACCCAAAGAAAAAAGAAAAAGGCATGTCATGTAGAGAGAAATCAAAATAAGGATGGCACAGATTTCTTGTCAGAAATATGGCAATCAAGAAGACAGCAGATAAACATCATTAGCCTACTGAAAGAAAAACATTCTCAACGTAATTGACAATAAAATATTTTCACTATACTTAGTTAAAATATTGAAAAATGAAAGTGAAGTAAAGACTTACAAAAGCTGAGGAAATTAATCACCAGCAGATCCACACTATAAGAAATGTTAAAGTGAGGGCTTCGGGCAGAAAAAAATAATACCAGATGGAAATCTGGTTCCAGACAAAGGAATGATGAATACCAAAAATGGTAACTATGTAAGTAAATATATAATTTTTTAAAAATTTTTTGAAACTCCTTACATAAAATTGACCATACAAAAACACTAACAATGTAGTCTGGATTTTAAAACATAAGCAAAAGTAAGATACATGACAATAAGTATAAAGAATAGGAAGGAGGCAACAGAAGTACATTATTCTAAGCTTATACTGTACATGAAGTGGTATAATAGTACTTGCTTGAAGATAGATTGCAATAAATAAACATATACCTTATAAACCCTAAAATAACTACTAAAATAACAGAACAAACAGTTATAGCTAATAATTTACTAATAGTGCACCATATAAAATGGAATCACAGGCCAGGCGTGGTGGTTCACACCTGTAATCCCAGCACATTGGGAGGCCAAGACAGGCAGATTACTTGAGGCCAGGAGTTGAAGACCAGCCTGGCCAAATATAGCGAAACCCCATCTCTACTAAAATACAAAAAAATTAGCTGGGCGTGGTGGTGCATACCCGTAATCTCAGCTACTCGGGAGGCTGAGGCACGAGAATCACTTGAACCCGGGAGGTAGAGGTTGTAGTAAGCTGAGATTGCACCACTGCACTCCAGCCTGGGCAACAGAGCAAGGCTCTGTCTCAAAAACAATAATAATAAATAAAATAGAATTATTAAAAAAATTAATCCAGGAGGATACTGAATGTTCCCAAAACAAAGAAACAATAAAATGTTTGAGATGATGAATATGCTAATTACCCTGATCTGATCACTATACATTATATGTATTGAAACATCACTATGCTTTCCATGAATATATACAATTATTATTTGTCAATTTTAAAAAATAAAATGAAAATTAATCCAAAAAAGTCAGAACAAAAGGAAAAAGGAAACAAAGAACGACGGGAAATAGAACACAAATAAGATGACAGACTTCAAAGTAACTATATTAATAAACACATTAAATATAAGTGATCCAAACATTCCCAATTAAAATACAGGAATTACCAGATTGCATTTTTTTAAAAGGCAGGACCAGACTCTATGCTGTCTACAAGAAACACACTTTAAATATGAAGACACCAATAGGTTAAGAGTAAAAAGATGGAAAATTATATAGCATGTTAACACAGTTCAAAGATAGCTGGAGTGGCCATATTAATATTAGACAAGGTATACTTCAGAGCAAAAACTATTATAAGATAAAAAAGTTTATTTTGTAATAAAGGGGGACAATTAATCAAAAGAACATAACAATTCTATACACCTATGTACCTAATAACAGAAGTTTCAAAATATATGAAGTAAAAAATGATAGCACTGCAGGGAGAAATTTAAAAATCCACGATCATAGTCAGAAATTTTAATATCATCAATAATGAATAGAACAACTATATAGAAAGTCAACAAGAATATAGAAGATGAATAACACTATCAATCAACTTGACCTGATTGACATTTACAGAACATTCCATCCAACAACAACAGAATACACATTCTTCTCAAGTGTACATAGAACATTTAACAAGATAGACCACATTCTGGGTCATAAAACAAATCTCAATAAATTCAGAAGGATTCAAGTCATAAAAAGTGTGTTATCTGACAAAAATATAATTAATTAAAAATCAGCAACAAAAAGATCTCTGGAAAACCCCCAAGTGTTGGGAAATTAAATACCATACTTCAAAATAACCCACGGATCAAAGAAAAAAGTCAAAAGACACTTATATTTTGGACTGAATGAAAGTGAAAATACAACATATCAAAATCTGTGGGAGGCTGCTAACACATCATTTAGTGGGAAATTTATAGCACTAAATGCCTATATTAGAAAATAATAAAGGTCTGCTGGGTGCAGTGGCTCTTGCCTGTAATCCCAACACTTTGGGAGGCCAAGGCAGATCACTTGAGCCCAGGAATTAGCAATCAGCCTGGCCAACACAGAGCATAAAGCATACAAAAAATGCTTTAAAAATTAGCTGGGCATGGTGGCATGCGCCTGTAGTCTCAGCTACTCAGGAGGCTGAGATGGGAGGATCGCTTTAGCCCAGGAGGTTGAGGCTACAGTGAGCTGTACTCCAGTTTGGGTAACAGAGCAAGAACCTGTCTCAAAAGAAAAAAGAAGAAAAGAAAATAATCACATCTTAAATCAGTGAGTCCAACTTTCCCTTTACAAAACTAGAATAAGAAGAGATATTAAATTTAAAATAAACAAAGAGGCTGGGTGCAGTGGCTCATGCCTGTAATCCCAGCACACTGGGAGGCCAAGACGGGCAGATCACTTGAGGTCAGGAGTTCTAGACCAGCCTGGCCAACATGATGAAACACCGTTTCTATTAAAAATACAAAAATTAGCCAGTTGTGGTGGCATGCACCTGTAGTCCCAGCTACTCGGGAGGCTGAGGCACGAGAATCACTTGAACCCAGGAGGCGGAGGTTGCAGCGAGCCAAGATCACACCACTGCACTCCAGCCTGGGCAACAGAGCAAGACCCTGACTCAAATAATAACAGCAATCATCATCATCATCATCATCATCATCATCATCATCATCATCATCATCAAAGAAAATAGTGAGAATGAAAATCAATAAACTACAAAATAGAAAAACAATACAGACAATCAATGAAAATGAAAGCTAGTTGTTTAAAAAGATAAATAAAATTGATAAATTTCTAGCCAGATAGATCAGGAAAAAAGGAAAGAAAATAAAAATTATCAAGATCAAAAATAAGAGAGGTGCCATCAGTACAGATTCTATAGATATTAAAAGGATAAGAGAATACTGTGTACTCTTTATGCCAATAAATCTGAAAACTTAAAGAGACAAATTCATGAAAGATACAAACTACAAAAGCTCACTTAAGAAGCAGTAGTCAAGGGGAATAGCCCCTTATCTATTTTAGAAGTTGCAGTTGTAGTTAAAACCTTCCCACAAAGAAAACTTCCAGTCCACATCACTTCATCGTGAATGTTATCAAATATTTAGGGGAAGAAAAAACGCCAGTTCTACACAAACTCTTCCAAAAAATTGAAGAGGAGCAAATATTCCCCCAATTTGTTCCATGAAGCAAGCATTACCCAGATACCAAAACCAGAAAAAGACATTGTGAGAAAAGAAAACTACAGACCAATAATGCTCATAAATACAGATAGGGAAAAAAAGTCTAAACAAATTTTAGCAATTTGAATCTGACAACATACTAAAAGCATAATAACCAATTGGACTGACTATGTGTCAGAAATTAAAGGTTGGTCATTATTAGAAAAATCAATCAATGTTTAACTTACAATAGTAACTACAAAACAGAAACCATATGATCACTTACACAGAAAAAAGCATTCAAAAAAATTCAATGCCCATTCCTGATTTTTTAGAAAAAATCTCTTAGAAAACTAGGAACAGAAAGGAACCTAACCCGATTAAAAAAAAATCTGCAAACCACTTACAACAAAAAATCACACTTACTGATGAAAGACTGAATGCTTTCCTCCTGAGATCAGAAACAAGACAAGACAAGCTCTCACCACTCCTATTAAACATTGTTCTGGAGTTCGTAGCCAGTAATAAAAGGAAAAAGATACATAAAAGGCATCCTGATTAGAAAGGAAGAAGCAAAACTGTATTTGTCTATGTAGAAAATCCAAAGAAATGCAAAAAAAAGCTACTAGTATGAATAAATGACTTTGGGCAAGATTGCAGGATACAAGACGTGCAGACCAGGGCAGATTATATTTTTGTATGTCAGAAACAATCAGAAATTACAACTTTTTAAAATATCATTTATAAAACATTAAAAATGTGAAACAGACATTTGACAAAAGATGCAGAAGACTAGTACACTCTAAACTATGAAACCTTGCTGAAAGAAGCTCTCAAAGACAAACAAGTAGAAAGATATACCTGGTTATTGGGTCAGAATAGCAGAATAGTCCTTTTTTTTTTTTTTTTTTTTTTTTTTGAGATGGAGTTTCACCCTTGTTGCCCAGTGGCACGATCTTGACTCACTGCAACCTCCGCCTCCTGGGGTCAAGCGATTCTCCTGCCTCAGCCTCCCGAAGAGCTGGGATTACAGGCACCCGCCACCATGTCTGGCTAATATTTTGTATTTTCAGTAGAGACAGGGTTTTGCAGGCTGGTCTCAAACTCCTGACCTCAGGTGATCCACCTGCCTCGGCCTCCCAAAGCGCTGGGATTACCGGCGTGAGCCACCGTGCTCGGCCAGAATAGTCAATATTTAACATGGCAATTCTCCCAGTTTGATCCCTATATGCAACACAATCTTAATAAAAATATCAGGGAGCATTTTTTTGTACAAATTAGCAAGCTAATTTTAAAATTCTAGCAAAGGAGCTAGAATTCACACACACACACACACACGCACACACATTACTCACATATTATTAGGTGTGTGCAAAAGTAATTGTGGTTTTTGCCATTACTTTTGAGAGCAAAACTGCAATTACTTTTGTACCAACCTAATAGAATGGTTTCAGTGAAAAAGACTGACCATAACAAGTATTGGTGAGAATGTAGAGGAAATGGCACTCTCATGGTGGGTGCAGTTAAACACATGCTTACAATATGATCCAGCCGTTCCACTCTTAGGAAATTCCCAAGAGAAAAGGAAATATATATCCATGTAAAAACTTGTACACAAATGTTCAGAGCAGCTTTGTTTGTAAAAGCCAAAAACTGGAAAAAATTCAAATGGCTAACAACAAATCATGATATAGCCATTCAATTGAATATTATTTAGCAATAAACAGGAATGAAATATTTATGCAAACAACAACATAGATTAATCTCAAAATAATTATGCTGAGTGAAAGAAGCCAGACAAAAAAGTACATATTCTATGATTCTAGCTAAAACACTAAGAAATGCAAACTAAATTATAGTAACACAAATGAGAACAGTGCTTTCTTATGGGAGGGTGGCATCCATGGGGGAGTGATGACAGTCAAGAGGACACCGTTGGGACAAAGGCTATGTTCACTATCTCAATTGTGGTAATGGTTTCGTGGATGTATACATCTGTGAAAGTTTATAAAACTGTACACTCTAAATAGATGCAGTTTACTGTCAATCAGCCATACTCCAATAAAAGCCGAGCAACAAATTAAAGCACAGAGGAACATGTTAAATGATACCACAAGAATGCAATCTACAAAATCCACACTGTGAGAGACTCTACAGACAAATGACCCAATGTCTTCAACAAGTAAATTGCAAGAAAAAAGAAAGAGAACCATGGAGAACTTTATGTTAAATAGACTTAAGAGATCTATCAACTAATGGCAATGATCCTGACTTAAATCTAATTCAGACATCCAATTAGAAACTTGACGCCAGGCACGCGGCTCACGCCTGTAATCCCAGCACTTTGGGAGGCTGAGGCGGGCAAATCACTTGAGGCCAGGAGTTCAAGACCAGCCTGGCCAACATGGCAAAACCCTTTCTCTACTAAAAATACAAAAAAATAAGCCGGGCATGGTGGCATATACCTGTAGTCCCAGATATTCAGGAGGCTGAGGATCACTTGAACCCAGGAGGCAGGAGTTGCAGTGAGCCAAGATTGTGCAACTGTACTCCAGCCTGGGCAATGCAGCAAGACTCTGTCTCAAAAACAAAAACAAACAAAAACACCTTGAACATTGGGTATTTTATGATATTAAGAAGGTATTTTTAATGTTTTAGGCATGACAATATTGTGGTTACTAGCTTTTAATCTTTTTTTTTTTTTTGAGATGGGTTCTCACTCTGTCACCCAGGCTGGAGTACAGTGTGATCACTGCTCACTGCAGCTTTGACTTCCTAGACTCAGGCAATCCTCCCACCTCAGCCCCCTCCCAGTAGCTGGGACTACAGGTGCACGCCACCACGCCTAGGTAAATATTTGTATTTTTTGTAGTAGAGATGGGGTTTTGCCATGTTGCCCAGGCTAATCTCAAACTCCTGGAATCAAATGATCCACCCACCTGGGCCTACCAGTGCTAGGATTACAGGTGTGAGCCACCAAGCCTGGCCTTAAAAGAATCTTATTTAGAGATTTGCCTAAGATTTATTCACTCCCTCCACAAGAACTAATTTTTGCCCCCTTTGACACCCTCAACCCTGGTTGAGAACAAGTGCCTTATATTACATTGGTGCAAAAGTAGTTGTGGTTTTTGCCATTGACAGTAATGGCAAAACTCAGCCTCCCAAAGTGCTGGGATTACAGGTATGAGCCACTATGCCCGGCGTCAAGTTTCTAATTGGATGTCTGAATTAGATTCAAATCAGGATCATTACCATTAGTTGATAGATTGAAAGTAATGGCAAAAACCACAACTGCTTTTGCACCAACCTGATATTATTCTACTTTTGTATATGTCTCTAAGTTTTCATTAAAATTTAAAAAATATATTTTTTAAGAAAAAACAAGAGTGTAATCACTCATATAACAAATCACTGGTGAGGGAAAATCCCATTGACCTGGCTTTTCAGCTGACTGGAACCAGAATTCAAATAGCATCAAGACTAACTTGTCAGCTGAGAGGCTTGTGGTTGTATTTTAGACCATAGAGGGGATTTATGACTTCCGTATCAGGAGGAGCCAGAGATAGGATGGGCTTCAGGGAAGAAGTGGTCAACTAGCTAGACCCAGAATCTCTGCTTGTCTCTCTTCTTAAGAATCATTCTCGGCTGGGTGCAGTGGCTCATGCCTGTAATCCCAGCACTTTGGGAGGCCAAAGCAGGCGGATCACTGGAGGTCAGGAATTCGAGACCAGCCTGGCCAATAGGGTGAAACTCTATCTCTACTAAAAATACAAAAATTAGCCGGGCATGGTGGTGCGTGCCTGTAGTCCCAGCTACTCAGGAGGCTGAGGCAGAAGAATCACTTGAACCCCAAAGGCGGAGGTTGCAGTGAGTTGAGATTGCACCACTGCACTCCTGCCTGGGCGATAGAGCGAGACTCCATCTCAAAAAAAAAAAAAAAAAAATCAATCTCAGGCCAGGCGAAGGTGGCTCACGCCTGTAATCACTTTGGGAGGCCAAGGCGAGTGGATCATGTGAGGTCAGGAGTTCAAGACCAGCCTGCCCAACATGGCAAAACCCCATCTCCACTAAAAATACAAAAATTAGCCAGGAGTGGTGGCGGGAGCCTGTAATCCCAGCTACTCGGGAGGCTGAGGCAGGAGAATAGCTTGAACCCAGGTGGCAGAGGTTGCAGTGAGCCAAGATCTCACCATTGCCCTACAGCCTGGGTGACAGAGTGAAACTCCATCTCAAAAAATACATACATACATACATTAAAAAAAAAAAAAGGATCAAACTTATTCCAAGACTGGCTTGCCTGCTGGTCCCAAAATGGAAGCTCACAGGGTAGTTGCATGCTTCCTGGTTGGTTCTCATCCAACAGGAAAGAGACACTGCACTTCAGCATTCAGTACAAGTCTTTAATTCACTCTGATTGGACTAGCCTTGATAACTGCCCATCTTGGGCAGTTTCTGCAGTGGGGAAATGGAATGTGCTGAGTGCCCAGCCCAGGCCAAGTGGTCCACTCTGGGGTCACAGGGACAGGGAGAGTCAATGTTTCTAGGACTACATAGCTCTCTAAACAGAAATCAGGGCTTTTGGAAGGGAGAAAGAGAAACTGCCCATCTTTTCTTTACTTTATTGGCATATGTTTAATTTGTTCCAGTCAGTGTCTCCACAAGGTTAAGAATGTGTTTGCCAGATGATCTGGGAAGACCTACCATTACCCTTTGCTAGAGGGGTAAGTAAGGTTACGAGCTCCAATTTTAAATAAAAAATCTCAGAAAAGGATGTGATTGGCCTGGTTTGAGTCATGTGCTCATGCCTGGACCAATTACTATTGCTGTGGAGGTGGAATGCTATGATTGGCACAGCTAGGGTCAAATGCCCGCCCCCAGGCAGGGAGGCAGTGCTGGGGATGCAGCTCCTGTCTCCCTGAAGACAGAGGGTTGCTCTTAGGTGGACAAAACATTTGGAGTTCTCTCAATGGTTATCAAACAGGGTTATTACGAAAATGTACAATTAAGTTTTCTTTTCTCTTGGGCATCCACTGTGTCTTTAATCCTTATTTTCTTTCCCAAGTCCCCATCCCACCCCACCTTCCAGCGCTCCGAATTTGCCAAGTGGAAGAGCAGGCCCTGGGAAGAAACAAAACAATAAAAACTACTGGATGATTTCTATCGAAGCAGGCTCTGACTCCCCCATGAACATCTTTCTCATCTCAAATAAATAAAATGCAGCGGGGGCTTGAACTAGCCACCATATCCCTGAGACACAGACTCCTCGCCTGTAAATGGAATTAGTAACAGAACCTACCTCACAGGGTAAATGTGATATGAAGTGGGTTGATGCACGTGAAATGCATTCCAAGCATACGGTAGATACTTAATAAATGGTAGCTATTATGTTCCATTCCATTCTACGCTTTAAATAACCCAGTCAGAAGGAAATTTGACTAAAAACAAATTACCCAAGTACATTTCAAAATCTCCTCCATAGCCAAGAAAAGACCACATCACCTTCTTCCCAGGAAACCACCTGTGCCTTGGGTATCACCCACTATTGCCCCCACCTGCAACTCTGCACACCGGACTGACTCCCTTCCACCCTGTTTCTCGGAGATCTGAGGATCTGCACATTAACCTCCCACCACCTCCCTCCCCACCCACCAGTCATCTGTGCTGCCCACCCTGGCAAGCTGTCTCCCTAACACCTCACCTACTCACGGCTTCATTATTTTATTTCCCACCTTTCTCACTCAGAGAAAGGGGGAGGAGCAGAGATAATCCTACAAGCCAGAAGACAGTGGGAGCCGGCTGGACCTAGCTCCTGTCCCCTGGGGCCACGCCATCCACCCACAGCTCCTGCAAGCCTACCCACTGGCCTTCTGGTACTCCCTTCTCCCTCCCCTCACCTCCCTGACCACCCCAACCTGAGCAACCAGTACTTCTTATCCATTACCTCTTCCCTAATCCCTCTTCTCCACTTTCCATGAAAGCCCACAAAGCCAGGCCAAGTTCCAGACCTCCAGGTCTACAGCCCTGGCAAAAAGCCCAATTCTCCTGTCTGGATGGATGCATGAGGTAGAAGGCACACTCCTTTATCTGAAGGGGTTGGGTGTGGGAAGGGGCATTAGGAAAACAACTCATGGAGATCTCTGACTCTCCACAAACTCCTGGGCTCATTAGCCCCGTAGGCCTTGATATATTACTCTCTGAGCCCACCTTTATTGACCTCTCCCAAAAAAAAATATAGTGATGCCAACCCTTCATGTGGTTCTGTCTCCCCTGTGGGAACTACAAGTATAATGGGGACTTGGGTTCAATCCTGGCTCTGCCGTTATAGACCGTGTGACCTTGAACAAGTCTCTTCACCTCTCTGAGGTTCTGTCCCCTTATCTGTAAAATGGGGATGACATGACACCCACCTCGCAGGCTTACTTTGAAAAGCAGAGCAATCACAGGACAATGGGAACACACTTTGTCAAGCTGTCGGTTGTTGTTACAAAGTTCCTTCTAATGTGGGTTTTGAAGGAAAAATAATATATTAAAAAGGTAACACTTCTACTTCTAGCAAGATGGTGTCACAGGGTATGGATTTACTCTTACCTGACACAACCAAAAAGCCAGAAAAAAAAATACATGAAACAACAGTTTTCAGGCCAGTGGTCATCAGGCAACAAATGACAATAATCCCTGTGAGACAGAAAACAAACAAAGTGAGCCTACAGCTGCCCTGCCTCGCTGCCTGGAGTGTCCAGGCTGTAGGGCAGGGAGGGAGAGAAGCAAGGCAGAGGTCTGCAAAATTTGAGTTGGGAGACAGAAGTCTGTAGATACTTAGGTGTCTGCAGTGTGCAGGGCAGATTCTAAAGAGTATACAGCTACACAGAGAACTCTGGAGCTACCTGACGAGTCCCCCAGAGTATGTAGCAAAGCACTGAGCAGTACATGCATTATCCAAGGCCAGGGGAAAAAAACATTCAAGGGCATCTGAGGGAACAGCTTCAGGTTCTGAGGGCCAGGAATAGCGCCTGTTCCTACCAGCCAGATTGTAAAGCCCCAAGCTCCACAGGGCATTCAGTAGAGTACTCAGAGGCTTGCCTTCATAGTGAGGGATAACCAGCCCAACACCACATACAGCTATGGTCTTGTACAACTCATCTTCAAAGCAAGACAAAAAAATAAACTGTTTTCAAATGATTTAACTGCTTTTTAAAACAAAGCTAAGGAACATTTTTAGGAATACTAAAATAGCTAGCAACACAAGGTAAAATTCACAATGCATGACATCCAATAAGAGACTAATAGGCATAAAAAAGA
The DNA here is from genome assembly GCF_000001405.40 of Homo sapiens. Classification (NCBI taxonomy): domain Eukaryota; kingdom Metazoa; phylum Chordata; class Mammalia; order Primates; family Hominidae; genus Homo; species Homo sapiens. The sequence goes on along the minus strand of NT_187652.1, from coordinate 37,152 downwards.
GCAGGAAAACATAACCCATAATAAGGCACAAAATCAATCATAACCAATCTAGAACTAACATGAATATCAGAACGAGCAAAGAAGGACATTATGTTACTATATTTTAGCATATTGTATTATATTATAATATTTTGAAAATATTCCATATTTTTAAAAAGTTAACCAGACACATGGAAGGTATATTTTTATAGACCGAAATTGAATTTTTAGAGATGAAAACTGCAATGTTTGAAATGGAAAATATACTATATGGGATTAACAGCAGATTAGTCATTGCAGGAGAAAATATTAGTGAACTTAAAGACACAGCAATAGAAACTATCCAAAATAAATCACACAAAGGAAAAATGGCTTAAAAAATGAAAGGAATGCCAGTAAACCATGGAACAACTTCAAACAACCTAATATACATGCAACTGAAGTTCCTGAAGAAAAGAATACACAGAAAAATATTTGAAGAAATAACATCCTAAATTTTCTAGATTTGATGAAAACCACAAACCCACAGATCCAAGAAGCTCAATAAACTCCAAGAACAAGAAACATCAATAAAACTACACCAAGACACATCATAATAAAATTGTTCAAAACCAGTAATAAAGAAAATCTTAAAATAGAGGGGAAAATGTCACATATAGAGGGATAAAGATGAAGATAACACAAATTTTTCATCAGAAACAATGCAAGCAAGAAGACAAACAATGTAGCAATATATTTAAAGTATTAAAAAAGACAACCGTAAACCTGGAGATATACCTTGTTATTGGTTAAGAATTATCACAGGATAGAGAACCCAGAAATAAATCCACGTATTTACAGCCAACTGATTTTTGACAAAGATGCCAAGAAAATACACTGAGGAAAGGACACCCTATTCAATAACTGGTGCTGGGAAAATTAGATATCCATATGCAGAAGAATGAAACTGGACCCCATCTCTCACCATATACAAAAATCAGCTCAAGATGGATTAAAGATTTAAACATAAGACCTAAAACTATAAAACTACTAGAAGAAAACATACAGGGGAAACACTTCAGGATATTGGTCTAGACAGAGATTTTTGTGGCTAAGACCTCAAAAGCACAGGCAACAAAAATAAAAATAGACAAGTGGGACTATATTAAACTAAAAAGCTTCTGCACAGAAAACAACCGACAAAGTGAAAAGACAACCCACAGAATGGGATTAAAATATATGCAAACTGTCCATCTGACAAGAGATGAATATCCAGAATGTACAAGGAACTCAAACAACAGTAAAAAAAATAAAAAGTCCCATTAACAAGTGGACAAAGGACATGAATAGACATTTACAAATGGTCAACAGGTATATTAAAGAACACTCAGCATCACTAATCATTAGGGAAATGCAAATCAAAATCACAATGAGATATTCTCCTAGCCCAGTTAGAATGGCTATTACTAAATGACAAAAAGTAACAGATGACAGTGAGGATGTAGAGAAAAGGGAACTTTTATACAGTTGGTGGGTACACAAAATAGAGCAGCCACTATGGAAAAGTGTATGGGGATTTCTCAAAAAACTAAAAACAGAAATGCCATACAGTCTAGCAATCTCACTACTGGGTATTTATCCAAAGGAAAAGAAATCAGTGTATCAAAAGGATACCTGAACTCCACGCTTAGTGAAGCACTATTTACAATAGCAAAGATATAGAATCAACCTAAGTATCCATCAGTGGACAAATGAATAAAGAAAATGTGGTATATATGCACAGTGGAATACTATTTGGTCAAAAAAATGAAATCATATCATTTGCAGCAACATGGATAGAACTGCAGGTCATTATGTTAAGTAAAATAAGCCAGGCATAGAAAGACAAATATCCCATATTCTCATTCAAATGTAAGAGCTAAAAAAGTTAATCTCGTGGAGGTAGAGAACAGAATGATAGACACTAGAGACTTGGATGGGTAAGTGTGGTGCAGGGGGATAAAGAGAGGTTGGTTAATGGTTACAAACATATAGTTTTATAGAAGGAAGAAGTTCTAATGTTTTATAGCAGAGTAGGGTGACTACAGTTACCAATGTGTTTTATATTTCAAAATAGCTTGAAGAGAGGACTTGAAATGTTCCCAAGATATAGATATGATAAATACTTGAGGGGATGGATACCCCAAACACCCTCGTTTGATCATTAAACAGTCTATGCATATAACAAAATGAAACAGGAAATTTTCCCTAAACCCTCTGCAGGCCTCATGACAAGGGTGCTCACTTAGCCTGCAGCTCTCAACCCCTCATGGGAGGGGCAGCACGCAGGTGATGAGGTACAGGAGCCGAGCCAAGGTGAGTGCTTCTGGGTGCCAGCAGGAGCAAAACACCGTGCAGGCCCAAGGCAGCATCAAGTGGGGAGTACTTGTGATCCCTGAAGCTCCAGAGGGCGTGTGTTACAGTGTGCTCTTTTAGCTTTGCCATCCACAGACAGCTTAAGTGTTGAACAGCTCAGTGGGCCCTCTGCCTTTTCACGTGAAGTGGTTGCTCTCCACCAGTGAGGGCAGAGGGTCAGTGTGACAGCCTTTAGTGTTCACACCCGTAGCTCCTGAGCTGTTATTCAGCATCCAGGAATAATCAGGTTGCACGAACAAATTGAAGGGTGGTAAATATGGAGGATTTTATTGCCCATGGAAGTGGCTCTCAGTGGGAAGGAGAGCTAGAAAGGGGATGGAGCAGGAAGGTGTTTTTCTCCAAAGTCCCACCATCAAGCCATTCCTCTGAAGTCAAACTGCTTCTCTCTGATGTTCAGCTGCTTCTTCTCTTCTCCCTTTCTCTGCCCTCTGCCAGTGAAGCCTGGGGTTTTTATGGATAGGGGATGGGGGTGCAGGGTGGGCCAGGGGTGGTTTTGGAAAAGGCAACATTCAAGCAGGAAAACGGGGATGTAAAGTTCTCACTTTGGGTCAGGCTTGAGGGTGGGGCCCTTGCCAGGGACCCTGCCCTTTTCTGCCTGGAATTTCTCTGCCTCCTGGCCCTATCAAAAATATCACATGAACCCCATAAATATGTACAAATACTATAAATCAATTTTTAAAAGAAGAGTCAATATTATTAACATATCAATTCTCCCCAAATTGTTGCATATATTCAACATAACCCCAGTTAAAGTATCAGGAAGCTGTTCTTACAAATTGACAAGCTAATTATAAAGGTCATAGGGAGATGCAAAGAAGCTAGAACTCTCTCACACACACACACACACACACACACACGTACACACACACCCCTCTGAAAAAACAAAGTTGAAGGGTTAGGACTACCAGATTTCAAGAATCATAAAGTTACATTAATCAAGGCAGCATGGTATCGGCATCAAAATAGCCACACAGATCAGTGAAACAGAAGGAAGCGTCAACAAATAAACCCATACATATTCGAATTTTTGACAAAACTGCAAAGGAAATGCAGTAGACAAAAGGCAGCCTTCTTAACAAATGGTGTTAGGACAACCGGATATCCATATGCACAAAGACAAACTTGGATACATACTTGTAATCATCTATAAAAAATTAACTAAAAAATGGATCATAGACCTAAATGTAAAGCCTAAAACTATAAAATTTCTAGAAGAAAACACAGAAAAAAATATTTGGCCTTGAATATCATATCAAAGATTTTTTAATATCTGACACCAAAAGCATGATCCATAAAAGAACAAAGTTCTTGTACATGAGTTCCTTATGTATTCTGGATCTCAATAAATAAATTGGACTTCATCAAAATTACATACTTCTGCACTTTGAAAGACACTTTAAAAAATAAAATGACAAGCCACAGACAGGGAGAAAATATTCGTGAAGAATATATCTGATTAAACATTTATATTCAGAATAAACAAAGAACTTTCAAAACTCAACAATAAGAAAACAAGCAAGCTAATTTTAAAAAACGGTCAAAATATTTTAATAGGCATTTCACCAAAGACATACAGATGGCAAATAAGCACATGAAGAAATGCTCTACAATGTAAGTCATTAGAAAAATGCAAATTAAAACCACAGTGAGATACCATTACATGCCCATTAGGATGGCTTCAATAAAAAGACTGGCTATAACAAGTGTTGGCGAAGGTGTGGGGGAAATGGCACTCTCGTGGTGGTAAAGTTAAACATACACTTACCATATGATGCAGCCATCACACTCCTAGGTGTCTGCCCAGGAGAAGAGGAAATATATATCCGTACAAAGACTTGTACACAAATGTTCATAGAAGCTGTTTGTAACTGCCCCATATTGGAAACAAATGGCCACCAACAGCTAAATGGATAAACAAATTGTGATATATCCATTCAATGGAATACTCTGCGGAAATAAAAATGAACTATTTTTGCAAGAAACAAAATGGATGAATCTCAAAATAATTATGCTGACTAAATGGAGCAAGACAGAAGAGTACATGCTGAGTCAGAGAAATTAGGCAAGAAAAAGAAGTAAAAGGCATCCAAATCTGAAAGGAAGATGTCAAATTACCCTTGTTTGCAAAGGACATGATCTTATACCTAGAAAAAAATTTAAAGATTCCACCAAAAATACACTATGGAGTATTATTCAGCCATAAAAAAGAATGAAATCCTATCATTTGCAGCAACATAAATGAAATTAGAGGTCATTATGTTAAGTGAAATAAGCCAAGCATAAACAGATAAATATTGCATGTTCTCACTCATATGCAGGAGCTAAAAAGGTGGATCTCATGAAGATAGAGAGTAGACTGGTTGTTACCAGAGGCTGGGAAGGGGAAGGAAGAGAGGTGATGATGGGAGAAAATATACATATAAATGTATTTATTTTATTTTTATAATTAAAAAAAATTTTTTTTGAGATGGAGCCTCGGTCTGTTACCCAGGCTGGAGTGCGGTAGTGCAATGTTGCCTCACTGCAACCTCCACTTCCTGGGTTCAAGCGATTCTCCTGCCTCAGCCTCTTGAGTAGCTGGGACTACAGGCATGCTCCACCATGCCGCCTGGCTAATTTTTGTATTTTTAATAGAGACAGGGTTTCACCGTGTTGGCCAGGCTGGTCTCGAACTCCTGATCTCAGGTGATCTGCCCCCCTCGGCCTCCCAAAGTGCTGGGATTACAGGCATGAGCCATCGTGCCCGACCTTATAAATCTATTTATTACCACTGAACTAGACACTTTAAAATGGTAAAGATGGTAAATTAAATATATAATTTACCTCAATTTTTTAAGTAATAATTTTAAAAAGAGTACATGCTGTATGATTCCATTTATACAAAACTCTAGACAAACTAACCACAGTAACGCAAAGCAGATCAGCAGTTGTCTATTGCAGGGAGAGGTGCAGGCACAGAGAGAAATGACAAGGAGATATGAGGAACTGTCTGTAAGTGACAGGTGTATTCACTACCCTGACTGCAGTGATGGGTTTCATGAGAGAATATGTATGTCAAAACTTATCAAACTATCGTATGCTTATCACACACTTTCAACATGTGTAATTTATTGCATGTCAATATGTAAATCAAAAAAGGCATTTAAAAACATAACACAGGAGTAAAGCAGGCACTGCTGCACCCAGTACAATCTACTTCTGGTTTGAAATTATCTTACACTTACAGAAGTGTTGCAAAGACAACACACATTATTTCCAAACACCCTTCCCTCAGATCCCCCTAATGCCAACAGTGTACATAACCACAGTACAATTAGCAAAATTCACACACTCCTCGCTCTCCTCCCTCTCTGGGACAGCCTGCTGCAGTCCAGAAGGTCCATGCCTTTAATAAGAAGGTCCATGCCAGGCCTCCACTCCGGCTTTGCCTCTGCTGCTCTGCGCGCAGTCAGCACTCTCCACACTCCAGATGTCTCACTGGCTCCCCCCAGCCCCATCTCTCACAAGCTCCAGATCCTATAATTAACTGCATCCTCAACGTCTCCCCAGCTATCCCACAGACACCTCGAATGCAGCTCGTCTAAAACTGAATGCATTACTGTTGCAGCATCCCCCACAACCCTTTCTCCTGTGGTCTTTAGCTAAGCAAATGGCATTGTCATCTATACCCCCTCCCTCCACCCCTCCGGCCCCAGTCAGACATCTCTGACATCACCATTCAAGTTCTACTTTCTCCACATGTCGCTCAAACCCCACCCTGCAGGCCCCATCTCTGCTATGGACACCTTGATTCAGGCAGGATGTCAACTGTCCTAAGGCTGTCAGAACAGGCTCTAAACACTCCTCACACTTGAGTCCCTCTGCCTCTAATCCTACTGCCTGGAGTGGTCTCTCTGAAATGCTCACCTACCTATGTCACTTCCTGCTGAAAATCTTACAGTGCCTCCCAAACGCGCATAGGGTGGCATTCTGGCTCTGGGATTCAAGGTCCTCTCCAAATAGGCTTTGACAACCCCTCTTGACTATAACTGGCCAGTTTGCTCCTTGAAGGAGTCATCAAATGACACGAAACTCCTCTTCCTCCTACACCCACCGGACAGCCTCACGCCCCTGCTCCTGTTGTTCCCTCAGCCTAGGTTCTTCCCCATCTTCCCCACTGGGAAACTCCTATCCAGATGCAGCACTATTTCAACCCTTAGAATGAAGCCTTCACAGAAATACGAGGCAGAATTGCAAGTCCTTTCTTGTGTACGAGAGCCTTTTATACATCCTTTGAGGCAGGTTTCTGTGTCTGTCTGCACTGGATGTAAAAGCCTAAACAGCAAAGATTGTTTCTTACTTATCTCCATCCCAGCACAGCCTAGGACTTGGGCCTTATAGACACACTGATGGCTGGATGAATGGATAAAGAGATAAACAGATGTACTCATGGATGGATGGAGAGAGGAGACAAATGGAAAAATGAGTAGATAAAGGACGAATGGGGGGATGGATGGGTAGTGAGATGAACAGATAAGACAAACACCAGATCAGTGATTGCATGGACAGAAACATGAACGTACAAAGGGATGGATGAATGAATGGAAAGTTCCTAGGCATTTCAAGGGCAGAGATTATTTCTTATTCAACTCTGTTTTTATAGGGCCTAGAAGAGGGCCTGGAATATACTAGTAGATGTTCAATATGTGCTACTGGAGGGAAGCGCCAGGTTTTTGTGGGAAAAGTTTTGGACTAACAGTTGGAAGACCTGATTTCCAGCTCTATCTGTATCCTCAATAGTTCATATAAACATGAGCGACCTAACCTCCAATTTTCCATTTACTCTTCTGTAAAGTGGGTAGGTTGAATTAAACCACTTTTAGGTATTTTCCAAATACACTGGCTCCCTGATTTGAAGCTGCCCAAATCTAAGATAAGGCTACAGAATGGGACGAGGGCCACATTTGAGCAAATGTGTGTTTACTTACAACTTGTCCTAATGCAGAGCTGATCCCAGATCTCTGCCAGCAATGGGGGAGAAGAGCAAACACACTCCAAATGAGATTCTGTTCCAACTGTCTGGCTGACAGCCTTGTGGTGGGAATGAGAGACAGGCTGATAAAAGAGCCTGGGGGGTAATTAATAGTGAAACATGAACCTCCGTGAGGCTGTACCCACCTCTCGCTGAATGGAAGGAGGGAAGGGCCGGGCTGCACAAAGCCTTCCCAGGGCCCTTGGCTGCTGGCCAAATGTACCCTTTATCCAGAAAGATGGGCTTTTGTTCACAGAGTATGGGGTCTGTCCCGTTAGATTCACACCTGGACTCCTGGCATGCTGTGGAGTAGCAATTGTACTATGAACACAGCTATCACCACTCCCAGAACAAAGTGTGCCAGGCTGTCTACATGTCCCCTTGACACTTCCAACAACCCTGGGAGGCAGGAAAGGTGATTATCATGAAGGAACATGTAGCTTGTAAGTGGGAGGTTCAGGCTTTGAACCCAGGACAGCCTGACTCTTTGTGCTACGACCGGCTGCTTTCTGCAGACAGCTGCCCTGGAACTGGTCGGATAACATGCCAGAGACATCATAGTTCATGCCACCCCAAACTGCAGTGCCGCCTGCCTGAGCCTGCCTGGACTCTTTGCAAGGTGCTTTCACGTTGATTCAAGCTGGCAGTGTGGGCCATCACTCCTATTGTGCAGATGGGACACTGAGACTCAGGCTGACAGGTGAAGTGACCCAGCCACAGTCACACAACTTGTAAATGGTGGAGCTGGGATTCCATCCCTGGGAACTGGAGTCCCAAGCCAGGTGCTTAATGGGTGAATTATTCTGTTCCATGGTGGTAGCTGTAGTGGACATCTGTGGGTTTTGCCTGGTGACAGCATCTGAATTTTCTTTGTGAAATAACAGTTCCCTCCCCCCACCACCCACCTCAGCTCATGTGATTTGGGCAAAACTAATATGCCCTGTATCTCTGTACTCCTCGCAGGGGTGGGCAGGCAATCCCTGCAGCCATGGTGGATGCATATGACTGACAGTGTCCTGTGATATTCAATTCCACAACTCCAGAGGAAACTACTGATCAAGAGGCATCCTCCTTCTGCTGGGGTTCCCTGAGCTGGTGACTTGGAAGCCAGGAGCTGCCGGAGGCCACCTGTGACACTGCAAAGGGACAATCTGCCAAAGAGTGAAGCCAACACAGAGAAAAGCAGGGGAAAGAGGCAAGCAGTTTCCTAAAGACATATTTTGAGACCCCCGAATCCAGCCACACTTGAATATATTCCAGGTAAATGAGCCAGTGTGAATTTCCTTTCTGCTTAAACCAGTCTGACTCGGGTGCCTCTCACCCACATCTGAGAGGCTCCAAGTCAATACTGCCCCTCATCACACTGAATAACCATCACTTGTTTCCTTGGCTGTTGTCCCATTAGACCCAGGGCACTTGAGGGCAGGGCCTAGTTCAAAGCCATCACGATGTCTCAGTGCCTGATTCCAACCATCCTCGATGAATATTTGCTGAATGAATAAAAACCCAATCTGACTCAATGTTCATTTGTGAACTTATTGGTATATGAGGCCCAAGAGAAGCCTGAATTCTCTAGTCTAACCCACTCTTCCCCTCCTCCTCCTTCCACCTTTCAAGGCCTAATTCCAAAGCCACCTCCTCTGAAGCTGGCCCATGGCCTGCACCCCAGTCCAAAAGTGCTTTCACCCACATCAGGACCTCCATGGTATGTTTCTGCCTTTTACAGTAATTCACACACATGCCTGGCCTCTCCAACCAGACTGAGAAGTCCTGAGGAAAGGGTCTAACATTGATTCATTTTTATATCAAGCTAGCTCCTGGCACCCGCCAACTCAAAAAAAAAAAAAAAAATCTGAATCCAAAGGATCATTTTATTCAATATTCACCAACCCCTAATATAAGTCAGGCACTGAGAATATATGGGTGAATACAGCATAATGGTTAAGAATAATGATGATGATGACAATAGCTACCATCTACTGAGGTATTACTTAGTGCCCAGCACTAATCTAAGCACTTTACATATATTAACTCATTTAACCCTCAGAGAAAACCAATGAGGTGGCTACCATTATCCCCCATTTTACAAATGAAAAAACTAAGGCTCAGACATCAAAGAATTTGCCCAAGGTTGCAAAGATGGTAAGTGGCAGAGCCAGGACTTGAACCCAGGCAATCTGGCTCTGAATCCCTGCTCTTAACTGAATCTTATGCTATAGGATCATGAATACTAAACAGACTGCTTTGTAAAAACCATGGCCTTCTCCTGTCTAATGCCTAATGTCTTTTGGAAAGAGCTGGGCTAAAAATGGAATCGACCATGCCCAGTGATTCTGGAGCTTGGACAGCAGGCAGGTTTTTAGCAAACTGGAGTCAGACACACTGGTCTGAATTTCTAATAGCACCATTCTTTGGCCCGATGTGTGTTACTGGGACCTCCCTGAGCCTCAGTTTCTGCAGGATTAATAATCTCACGGGCAGTTACCGGGCTTAGAAGAGTTAACACATGAAAATCACTTAGCATAGTACCTGGCTCCTACCACACAATCAGTGAGCGGACGCTGCTGTCACTAGTACCTTTTATTATTATTATGGAATAAAGCAAATGTACAGGGCTTGGGACAAGGTATACTGTCCAATATTATAAATGTGCTTCTGGTTTTTTTTTTTTTTCTTTCTTTCTATAACCTTGAAAGAATACCTGCCCTTCTCTAAAATGATTCAACTAGGGCTGCTTACCAGGCCCACAGAAAGCCCTGCTGCCAGCCGGCCTTCAAAATGGATTAAGGATTTGGAGTTCTCTTCATTTCTCCACTCACAGGATCAAAGGGTGCGGGCGAGGACTGGGAAGCGGGGGAGGAAATGCAAGATGGAACAGGCCCCAAGTTTTTAACTGGCATAAGAGCAACTGTGGTTCATCCTAGGCTCAGCTGAGCTGCAGGGAGCAGGCCCCCATGATCTGTACAGCCTGTGCCCTTGAGAAATAAACACAACTGCCAGAAAGCAGCACGCTTCAGCTACTGCTAATCCCAGGCTACAAGACAAGCAGGAAATCAGAGGTGCCCTGTGATGTGTTTTCCAAAAAGCGTCAGCAAGTACACAGAGCAAGGAGGAGGGGACAGTCCAATGCAAATACACAATTGGGTTTCAGAACAGGGAATAAAGGCTGAACGCACAGACCAGCCCCAACCGAGGGCACACAATGCTCCATCCTCAGCCTTGACTCCACTGCCCTCTAGAGGACACACAGGCACCAGCCGACAGGTTTTCAGCAAGTTCCCGCTGTGGAAGGAAGCAACGTGTTCTCCTATGAGGGAGGATCATAGGCTTTGAGCCACTGAGAAAACAGATGCCCTCCATCCCTCAGCCACGAGCCTCGTTCAGCCTCTCTTTCATCTCTCCCTTGGACTTCAGCAACAGCCTCCTCACTGGTATTAATAAAATAATAAAACGATCCTCTATTAAATGCTGACCACAGGCACTGTGCTGAGGGATTATACACGTTAAATCATGGGATTCTTACAACATCCTAGGAAGTAGGTAGCATTCCAATTTACAGATGAGGAAACTAAGGCTCACACAGGTTAGAGGACCTGGCCAAGGCCACATAGCTAGCTACAAGTAGAAGATCTAAAGTTGAAACCCAGCAAGGGTTTAAACCCTGGGCAAGGGCCCTGTATCTATCTGACTAACCACTTTACCAACATTAGCGGCAGCAGCAACAGCGACCCCTGAGAATGTTAGAAAATCAAACTCTCAGCTGGGCTCACACCTGTAATCCCAGCACTTTGGGAGGCCGAGGTGGGCAGATCACGAGGCCAGGAGTATGAGACCAGCCTGGCCAACATGGTGAAACCCCATCTCTACTAAAAATACAAAAAGAAAAAATAAAAATTAGCCGGACATGGTGGCAGGCACCTGTAATCCCAGCTACTGGGGAGGCTGAAGCAGGAGAATTGCTTGAACCCAGGAAGGCTGAGGTTGCAGTGAACCGAGATCGCACGATTGCACTCCTGCCTAAGCAACAAGAGCAAGACTCTGTCTCAAAAAACAAACAAACAAAAATAAAACTCTCAGAGTGGGATCTAGCAACACGTGCTTTAACAGCTCCTCCAGATACTTAGATGCACCCTAGCTTGAGAAGCTCTGCACTAGACGGAGTTGCTTCAAGAAACTCTCTCCCTCAATCATGACATTTCCACACTGCCCCAGGTGGTCTTCCTAAAACACAACTCAAACTCTTTAAAGGCCTTAGAACTCCACTGGCAGGCCCCGGGCCTAACTCAGCACAGCAGTCAGGCCCTCCACAGCCCCTTAAATCCATGAGAAGCAGGACTTGGAGAGAGAACCCGATCGAGCATCTCCTCTATCGTGTACAAGCTCTGCCCTAGTCCTGAGCCTACAGGAGGGTACTTAGTCCTTGTTGGTGAGAAAATCCTTCTGCCCAGAATAGAGAGACTGAAACTGGGACAGGTGACAAGATGTACTCATGTTCATGCAGCCAGCAAGCGCCAAGGCCAAGATCAGCGCGTGGGACCATTTGACCCCACAGCCCAAGTGCTTCCAAGGCAAATAGGGCCAAACTGGTTAGGAAGCTGGGCCAGGGGCCCATGGCTGTGGGCTCTGACATCCAAACAGGCACAGGCTTCCCACCCCAGGTTCTGGTCTTTAACAAAGTGACCCAGCCAATATCCAGCTGATTTCATCCAAAGAGCCTTCATGGGTAAATCCCAGTCTTGACCTCCTCCTCTGTGACCCTAATAGTAGTGGGATAGGAGCTGGGAGAGGCCAAAGCCCTGAAAGGATCCTCAAGAAACCACATCCTGCTGGGCGCGTGGCTCACGCCTGTAATCCCAGCACGTGGGAGGCCAAGGCAGGCAGATCATCTGAGGTCAGGAGTTTGAGACCAGCCTGGCCAACATGCTGAAACCTCATCTCTACTAAAAAATACACAAATTAGCTGGGTGTATTGGCACACACCTGTGGTCCCAGCTACTCGGGAGGCTGAGGCAGGAGAATCGCTTGAACCCGGGAGGTGGAGGTTGCAGTGAGCCAAGATCACGCCACTGCACTCCAGCCTGGGTGAGACTCAGTCTCGAAAAAAGAAAAAAAAAAAAAAAAGAAAAGAAACCACACCCAGAAAAGACATGCATTAGACCATGACAGACAAGGTAGAAGAGTCCAAATATGTCAGTCAACACTCTCCTCAGTGCAAGACTGTTCAAGGAGTCCATCCTCACCCTGCCTGCCCCGCTGCCCTGCTCCTTGTCCACACCAGACCAGGATGGTGCATGTCTCCACGCCTTTGCAGACACCAGCCCCTCTGCCTCAAACCTTCTCCAAGAGCTGCCCAGCAGATTCCTACCCACCCTTCTAAGACAAACCCCAGTGCCTTCTTCAGGAAGCCTTCTCCCTCCACTCCCAGGCACTGTTGTGCCATTTCTGTGACAACACTCACCTTTCCACAGATCAGAGAAGCACCAGGGCCTAGGATGGTGGTTCTCCATCCTGTTAGAATCCCCTGGGGAGCTTGCTTGGCATGGAGAATGAACATCAGGTGGTTCCAGTATATAGCCAGGATCAAGAAAATTGACCTCCTGGAAGACCTGGGCTTTGAAGCTGCACACAAATGTATAGATCCTGCTTCTCTGCCTCACAGCTGAGTCACTGGAGCAAGGAAACACAACCTGCTTCCCACCCTGTGAACTGGGGATTACAGCACCTACCATGCTGAGATCCCACCTTCTTGCCTCCTCCCCACCAAGCAAGGACTAACCGCCTGCTTGTCATTCTGCCCAGATTGGTAACTCCTTTCTCGTGCATTCGTTTACTTAATGGCTATTTATTGAACACCTGCTGAGTACTACCAGGCACGGTGCTGGAGATGTGGGGTACGGCAATGAACATGTCAGGCAAAATTGCTAGAACATCTGGCAGTTTACCTGGGGAGACAGCCACAAAGGAAGCAAACAGGAGTAGCTTCCCATGATAAGCACGCTGAATAAAATTAAAGTCGGTGGGAAGAGATCCAGCAATGGGGCAAAGGGAGGCTACATTAACATTCAGGTTAGAGAGGACTGCTTCTAAATTAAGACCTAAATGCTGAGAAAGCAGCCTGGGAAGATCAGATCTGAGGAAGGTGGAGTGAGAGCCAATGGAGTGTTCTAGGCAAGGGAGAGGTGGGATCTGTCTTGCTTTTTAATGAAACCACTCACATGAATTGTCACCATCTGCACACCAGGCTGTGGGACCTTCACCTCTGTACCCTCAGTGTTCCAGTCAGGCCTGGCACAGGAGAGGGGTTGAGTGACTGGCTGAATAAATGAACCCTCTTCCCCTGAATGTGTTGTTTCCAGGTCTCCAAGCTAAAGCTTCTCTGTCCCCTGGCTTCTGCCCATCAGCAGTGTGACATCTTTCCCACAAAGAACCAGGTGAATCCCATGTTGATGGTCAAACTCCTAAGACCCTAAGCCTCTACATCTGTGTTACTGTTAAGCCACATCTAGACTAGGCTAAACTTAAACAGCTGGGATGAAAGGAACATGGGCTTCAAACTCATATACAGACCGTTTGACCCTGGACAAGTTCTCTAACCTCCTTGAACCAGTTTTTACCCGTACAGTAGGTCCAAGGTACAGTGGTCTGGTTTATCCCTCTCCCTTGTACAGTCCTAGCCAGATGAGTTCAATTTGTGGTCAACCCAACAGAGCGTGAGAGGGCCTCCTATGTGTTGAGCAAAGCACTTTGGCCGTCATTTTGGAGGAGACACAGCCCATCATAAACGTTCAATAAACAATCACAGGCCTGATCACCCTCAACCTGAACTCAACTGTGATACTTCAGGAGAGCAGCTATTCTCGAAGCTGACTGTAATCCCCCTTGGGGGTACAGTTGATGACCAGCTACAAATCAACCTGTGCCAGCCCAGATTTCCTTTGGTCCTCAAGGACATCCCGAGATGACTGGACAGATTCCTTGCTGCATCTGCACCATTCCCTGACCTGTATTCCAGTAACCTTATCAGGAAGGTAACAGGAAATGTAAATTTATCAACTTGTTCTTGGTAGATCTATGGTGCCCCAGTGGTCCCTGACAGCGGGCAAGTTGTACCCGGTGACTCTGTCACTGACGCTGCTGGTCAGGTGGGCATGTTTTCACAAGCAGGTCTGCTTCTTCTAAGTCGTAAAAGAGTGAGATGCTAGAGGTCTTAAAATTGAACGACTTATGCCTCTTGCCGGATGTCTTAAAATTCAACAACTTATGGCTCTGCATCACTAACCATCCCAAACATGTAAACTGTTAGTAAATCTGTATAAATATTGGCTGAATAGTTTCCAGTTTAGTGTTCCTGAAAGTTAAATGGCCTTAGCTCTACAAATGGGTGATAAAAAATAATTGTCAAATATTCATTTTCTCCAAATCCCATCCTCTTTTCAAGGCTACAGTATCTTCTTTACAACGCTATATCCCTCCCTTTTAGACAATGTGATGAGCCCAGGGGACACTGAAAACCCCTTCCTAAGGTAGGGAGGTTATACAGCACACACGTATGGTATTAGCACCTAGGTAACAAGAGCTGCTGTTTCCTGCACGCCCACAGTGTGCCAGGCATTTACACACAGCAACTCATTGAACCCTCCTAAGTCACATTACCATCAGGCACATCTTAAAGACAAGCAAAATCATGGAGGTGAAGTAATTTGGCTAAAGTCTCCCTGTTAGCAATGGCAGGAAAGGATCTGAACCCAGGTATATCCGTCTCTTACCTACTCACCCAGCCACACTACCAGCCAGTCCAAACTGAAACCACTCAGAACCAGACACCCCTCCCTCCCTCTTCCCTCCAGCGACATCTCCTACTGCCCCTGACCATCTTCACGTCCAGGACACTGACGGCCACACCTTGGCTTGGCTCCAAGCTGCAGCAACGCCCCCCCACCTGTCCCCTGTCCTGCACTCACCTCTGCTCTACCCAAGGCCTGCACTGAGGCCACCCCCTCCCCATACGACCCTTTCCCAGCAGCCTCAGTTAACAGGAGCTTTGCCCCCCTCCTCCTTCACCCGCTGCTGTGCAGTCTGAGTTATGCTCCACTTGTTCACACACACACACACTTATCCATCATGAGCCCAAACTGACTGCAAACGGAAAGCAGATCTCATATTTCTCCTCTGAACCTCCCACTGCGCCCGGGGTGTGATGGATCCATATCCTCCCTTCACAGCACTCACTCTGGAATGATGAACGTTGCTCGCTTGGTGGCGGCACTGGAGCTGAGAAGGATGACAGACCAGTGACAGGTCTCCATGCTCTCGCTAGGAGCTCCTCCACCTCAAGCAAGGGGAAGGCTTATTAAGCACCTCCCTTGTGCCAGGTGCTGTGCTAGACACCGTACAGGCTGTATCTTGTTTAATCTTCCTAACGACCCAAGAAGGGGATTCATTGTCTCCACTTAATGGATGAGCAAAGTGGGTTCAGATAAACCACTGCTGGAGCCAGCTTCAAATCTGATTCTGCCCAAGTTATGAAGCCAGTGTTATCTCCACCGCACCACAGCGTCAGAGAGAGAAAAGAACGCAACGCCTCACCTACATCTGGGTATCTCTGAGTCCGCAACACACTCTGTTCAACCTCTACTCTCTTCCTGAAGAGAGGAATTACCTTTTACATCTGTCTATGGGCTTTTTTCCTTCCAAAGCAGGAAAACATTTCATGGTCCTTTGTGTAACTAAAACCCTTAGGGAGCAGAATACATCTTTCAAACAGGAAAGGGCTCAAGGACATTTCTACCCCATTCCTGGCCACTCTCAACTGAGCCAACCCACACATCACATCGCACCCCAACCAGATTCTCTCTGTCTTCCCTCCCCCAGACCCTACACCCCCCGCCCCTGCAAGACCTCCTAGGAGCCTGCTCTGGGCTTAGCCCCTTCCTTGGATCCACCTGCCTCTGGTCAGGACTCCCTGCACCAGCCTCCCATCCCCACACAGGACCCTCTCCCAGGACTCCAGCTGCTCAGCCTCCCACCCACACAGGTTAAGGTGTGGGGAACAACATGGCACATACACTTCACAAGCTTCCCATGTGGCATGGCTCATCCTACTCTGGATCTCACGCCATCCAAATACCAGGATCTCAGCAAAAGAGATGATACTACAAACTTCACTACCTATCAGTCTGACTTGTCATTCCAGCCAACACAACAGTGGGTCATTGGTATGTGGATACTGCAGTCTGTTTGGGCACATGATGAGTAAGTGTGTGTGTGAACAAGTGCAGCAAATCCTAGACTCTCGCTGCCAACTAAAATCTAGCTTGTAGCTGACCTCCCCACTCACTCCTGACTTGCTGATGTGTGTAGTAGCAACTGCAGAAAATGCCTCGACAGACCAAATAATAAATGGCCAGCTGTGACTCTGAATGGCATCCTTCCAGCTCTGCAGAACTAGAAAATGCACTCAAACCAAAGGGGCCCCGGGTCTGAGACATGTCATTTCCCCAGGATGGACCCACCTTTGAACTCCTCCAGTACTTCAAAGCCAAGGCACAGAGATGGTGTCATCAAGACCTTGAGAGTCTGCAAAAACTCACACACACTGGGACTCCTTGCTCATGGATGTGTGTTCTCCTGTTGCTACAAGTGTCCCACCAGTTAAATGCAAAGTTTCCTCTTGTTTAAGTGACAGGTCGTGTGGATCACTAATTTACATAAACCCAGAGGAGAAAAAAATCCACAAGGATGGAAGAGGGAATCAATCAAATATTAAGATGTAGCCCAAACCCTCAGCATCTGGTACCAGTTCTAGAGGGAATATATAAACATGGCAGAGACCACAGGAATGACAGATGGTTGCAAAAACAAGAAATAATGCATCAAATTTACTCACGGTGACACGAACAACACTCAACTTCTGCCGCTGAGGTGGCAAGTTGGTTTGCAACTGAAAAGACCCTTCATCAGGGAAGGTGAGAAACGCTACTGCAAACACTACTGTGCACACTACTGCACCTGCTCAACACATCACTCACTAATATGGGCCAACAGTTGACTTCTCATGGCCATGGTTTATTCATCTGTGAAGCGGGAATGGCAATACTTGCAGAAACAGAGTAGCCCATTACAAGCAAAGGCACATGGGCCTTTAAACAAACCTACATCTGAATACAGTCACTTGATGAGTAACACTGAGTTACTTAAACTCCCTGAGGTAGTAAAATGGTGATAACACCCACCTCAGAAGGCTGCTGCAAACACTGAGTAACAGCTGATAAAAGTGTTCCTTATAGTAGCAGGCATGTAGTGAATGCCCAGTAACTACAAATGTCTATTAAGACTTGTTGAGTGTTTATAATACTCCCCAACATGGTGCTGTGCACCTTGCCTAACTTATCTTGCCATACTTGGTTTGTCTACCCTTCATGTATGAAGATAAACATGTTTTTATACATAAACATGGACACGAGAAAACTTCTGGAAGGATATACATCAAAATTCTAATAGCAGTTACCTCTTGGTGCTAGGAATGTAATTTTTCTTTTTGCTTATCTTTTTCCAAAATTTTCTACCAACACTATTTCTATATGCCTCAATATTTGCTTTAACACCAAACAAAATTACAATATAATGAAAAACCACTGCTCTTAGGTAACAACCCCCCAAACATAAGCCCTTTTTTTTAGAGGGAAGAACTAATAAAGCTTTGCTTTCCATGAGGAACCAATAAGTGTTTTTCTTTTCAATAAGAAAGCTAACTGACTTACTCCCCTCTTCACTTTGCCACCAGGAAGCTCAGAGTCAAAATTTTAGTTCGGTCATTCAATTAGCTTTGTCCCTATATTTCAGAGGCTTCTTGGTTGGGACATTAAATGACAGAATTATAACATTTAAATTCTCTTTCTGAAATTAAAAAAAAAAAAATACAAAACTGCAACTCAAGGACATAATAATTTTAAAAGTCTTAGAAGTTCCATAATAACAAAAGTCAGTTTATTAAATGCTCAATTCTCAAAATTATATATATATTTTTTTAATTATTTAAAAAAACTTCCATGCCCTTCCATTCCCCTCCCTCCAAACTAGGTATTGTCCAAGTTGTATCAAATGCCACAAAGTCTACCATGCACCCAGAAGCAGAGAAGACAGGAGGTCCAGAGGACAAGGTATGCTGGGGTCACTACTCGCACTGCAGAGTCCACGCGAGTTAACTCATGCTGGGGGCAAAGAATGGAAAGAGCTAATACACAGACAAAGCAAAAGAACGAAATGCGCAGCCTGACCAGAGACGTTTACAATTTATACCAACTTACAAATATTTAGGGTGCCCACCAACTCCGAGAGAACAGACCAAACTAACCACATGAAGGAAGACCTCTGCCGGGGCCTCCTCTCCCTACAACCTCCTCTCAAGAATCATTAGGAAGCCCAAACAGCTTCACAGTTCCGGCTTCCCGGCTGCTGTCATATTTGCCGTCTTTGTCATCACAGGCAAATGCCAGCAGAGGCCTTTTGGGGTGCCATGCCACTGTGAAGGTCGGAGACTCACACTGTACCTCCCATAGTTTGTCCCCTATAGAAAACAATAGAGAGAAACCAATCAATACGTTCAAAACGAAGGACACATTCATTAAGTACTTACCTGTATTAACTGGTTTAATCCACCTACTAATCCCATGAGATAGATACAACTATTACCTCATTTTACAGAGAACCCCCAGGCACAGAGAGCCCACAAGCCAGCGGAGGACAGAGCCGGTTCTGAGCACAGGTGGGTTAACTCAAGAGCAGGTCACTGAGCAGGAAAGTGTCTCCGCGTCACAGGGACATGCAGTTACATGAAGGATCTGCATGGCTGGATGCTGGACAATGTTCACCACAACGTGACTAACAGGAGCATTCTTTACATAGTGGAATTTCAAGTTCTTTACTTTCCTCTTCGAAGTTTTCTATACAGTTTTAATCTTTTTACGAAGAGTGTCACAGATTTCCAAAAACAATAAAGCAACATTAAAAAACAAATCTGAGGAAATTCTTTTGCAAAATGAATACTCTCCTCCCATTTTTCTATTTCCAGCTTCTGTTGTTTTTAAAGCAAAAACTTTATAATTCCTCAAATTTTAAATAATATTTTTTCAAGTTCATATACAGGCAAAAGATAAAGAGAAATATATCACAACATTTAAAACAGGTGGTATTTAGAGAGTGGGACCCCAAGTGGTGCTTTTTTCTTCCTTCTACTCTGTAGTTTAAAGTTTAAATAAATCAAAATATTTTTCTAAATCACCTTCCTCAGACCTGCCTGTTTATTTCTTAACTCTTTGCTTCCTCACCACCTGGCAGTGACAGTCAAAACAGAAACATACTTGTCTAAAGGAGACAAATTCATTCATGATCATGCTGGTGAAGTAGTCACATGCAGAGATGAGATCACAAGAGAAGTCCTGACTGCCAAAGGTGAAAGACGGTAGATTCTCATGAAGTTACCTGTCTCCACTTCAGCAATGTCAATAAAATGATCTTCCGATGCTGACGCCAGCATTTTCCCATCATGGCTGAAACTGAGGGTTCTTACAGGCCAATCCAGCCTATGATACAGAGTGGACAGAAGAGACAAGAGAATTACCAAGTAAGAGGAGGGAACAATGTCACTCACGATGAAATAAAATTAATGTACCCAACAAGGGAAGTGCTGATAGAGTCACTTACCTGGAAAAGCACCGAACACACACTAACTCATCCACATCCCAGAGGCTGACCAAAGCATCTGCACTTCCTGTGGCAAAGTACTTCCCCATGGGGTCAAA
This sequence comes from Homo sapiens, assembly GCF_000001405.40. NCBI lineage: Eukaryota > Metazoa > Chordata > Mammalia > Primates > Hominidae > Homo > Homo sapiens. The sequence continues at coordinate 16,968 of NT_187652.1, read as the reverse complement.
CTTGATACAGATGCAGTTGGAAGGATGGGCGTTGATGGACTGCACAGGCTTCAGTTCTGGGTAGCTGAGAAAAAAGACAGCGATCAAACTGCAGAAGAGGACTGTGGTGCTAAAACAATAATAGGAGATGATGAAGAAGAAAAGCAAAGATAATAGACCACCACCAAGAACTGTCATTCAAGATAACATTCCTGAAATAAAAAAAGATTTTGAACTACATTATTTAAAAAGCACAACACATACCTGAGACTACAGAACCAAAGTTACCAACATCGAGACAGAGACTAGCAAAATTAGTGGACTTTAAAGAAAAAGAAAATTAGATTATTGGGCTTTCTGACAACAACACTTAATGCCAAAAGAAAATGGAGTACCATATTTAAGAAAGATACACAAGCGAGAAAACGAGCCAAGGATTTTTACATCCAGCAAAACTGAATTTCAAATATAATGATACAAACAATAAGCACAATAACGTTTTATAAAATCTGTAAGTTTTAGAATTACGTAAATAAGTTGTAATAAAAACTCCAGGAATAATGTTCCCATGAACGCTTCCCGAGGAATCTTAACTAGAGAATGAGCTTCAATTAAAAAAATGACTAGAGACTTATAAGGACTGGTGCTGAACACTGAATATACAGTTTCTTGCAAAAACTATACATGGTTTAAAGAGAGGGTATAATATGTAACATGTGCACATGCTTACAACATATAGTACTATTTTTTTAATGGGGGAAGAATGGAAAGAGCATATGCAAAAACCAAAAACATTTTTTGTTTCAAGTCATCACATTGGTGGTAGCAGCAGTAATATTGTTGTTCTGAGACATCTATATGTTTACCATGGGAGATAGGTAATAAGTAACCATCGGATATTCTAATTCTATGATCCCCTGTGCCCTTGAGAACCAGAATACTCAATTTGGGAGGAAAGAAATATATTTGTAATATAGAAGAGGTTTAGTAAAATCCCTGGAGTCCTCAATTTTGATTGCAAGTTATCAATGTGAATTCATAAGGTATTTTATCTTTAAATATATACACACACACACACACACACACACACACGTAATTCCTAGGCCAACCCAGCAGTAATGAACATTCCTAACTTCAGTATCATTTCTCAGTAAAAGAATGTAAGGCTCCTTTTTTTTTTTTTTTTTTTTTTGAGGTGGAATCTCACTCAGTCGCCCAGAATGCTGGAGTGCAGTGGTGCAATCTAAACTTACTACAACCTCCGCCTCCCGGGTTCAAGCGATTCTCCTGCCTCAGTCTGCCAAGCAGCTGGGAATATACACGTGCGTCACCACGCCCAGATAATTTTTGTATTTTGAGTAGAGACAGGGTTTCTCTATGATTGCCAGGTCTCAAGTGATCCACTCGCCTCGGCCTCCCAAAGTGCCAAAGTGCTGGGATTACAGGCGTGAGCCACCGCACCCAGCCAGAATGTTAAGGCTTCTTGGAGAATGTTCTGATTAAAGGTCTGGGGCAAGAAATGCACAAGATGAACTTGGAACATCTTATCAAACCAGAGAGCAAAAAAACAGAAGACGATGGGATTATGTCAAAAAAGGTCTCAGGAACCAACTTGAAGAGGTTCTTATTGGCCAAAGATGGGATAATTTGAGCTTCAACAGGCATAACAATTACAAGAGATGGAAACACACCAACTATGTTTAAAAACATCAGCCCGTAATGATTCTTTAAAAAAAAAAACACCTAACTGCTCATCTTTGGAGGTAGCAGGAAACAAAATCATTATCTGACAAACAGAATCAAAATTTTATCCTGCCTTCCCTACATGAACTACACTACTGGGTAACCACATCGCAGATGAGAAGCAGCATCTCTTTACACAACAGTCCAACACATAAACAGCATATGGAATCAGCAAAAGCCAAACTGGGAGAATCTCCACAGGTTAACAGTCTGGTTTTTCAACAGCTACGTTTTCGGAAGTTTCTTTTGAGTAATTTAAGAGATACAAAACACATATCAATTTTTTTTTTTTTTTAATGAGCAAAACTAGGGTATCTAGGGGCTGCACATGTGGTAGATAAACTATGAAGAAACACTATAAAAGTCAGGATAGTGTTTGCTTTTGTGGAAGGAAGTTGTAATTAGGACAAAACACCTGGATGGACTTCTGGGATGGCTGGAAAGAACTACTTCTCAACTTGGGCGGGGTTGCACAAGAGTTAAGCCTATAAGAGTTCATTAAGCTATACATTTATTTTATGTGGTTTTCAATATCTGTGTTTTATAATAAAAAGATTTTTCTTAAAAAGTTATAGAATCCCCATTGCCTACAAAATAAAACCCAAGATACTAAGCATAAAATAAAGGCCTTTTATAATCTGGTCCCAAATTAGACTTCATCTTCCCATTATCATGCCCTCTCTTATTTCCCTTATCTGCCACCACTCCCCCAACAACCCTGACCTAACCACTCTCCAAGTAAGTCATGCTCACTCACACCTGCTTTGTCAGTTATGTGGTTCCCTTTTGCTTATTCTTAAAATTCTGCTCATCTTTCAAGATCAAGCTCACAAGCTCCCTCCTTCAACCCCCCATATAGTATGTCTGTTCTTTCCATGGAATTTCACAGCAAACTCCTGGCCTCCCACTCACAGAACCTATCTCACTTGGTCTTGCATTGTTCACCTGGGATAGTGGAAGGCTAGAATTGAACAGACCTGAATTTCAGCTCCACAGTTTCATTCATTTACAGAACAAATATTTACTAAGATCCTACTACGTGGAGCAGGTACAGGACTAGACATTAGGGATTCAACACTAAACAAGGCAAACACCATCCCTACCATCAAGGAATTCACAGTCTAACAGGAGACACAGGCAAATAAACATGCAATTACAATATAGAAAGAAAAGTGCTTCCTACAGAAAGTATATAAAATACGCCTCTAACCTACCTCTAACCTTGGGGTAGCGGGGGAGCTTCCCTGAAGGCAAAGTGATATTTCAGTTGAAACTTTAAGAGTACGAATTAGCCAGAGGTCGGGCTAATCACCTGAGGTTGGGAGTTGGAGACCAGCCTGACCAACATGGAGAAACCCTAAACTACAAAAAATACAAAATTAGCCAGGTGTGGTGGCACATGCCTCTAATCCCAGCTACTTGGGAGGCTGAGGCAGGAGAATCGCTTAACCCCGGAGGCAGAGGTTGCGGTGAGCCAAGATCACACCATTGCACTGCAGCCTGGGCAACAAGAGCAAAACTCTGTCTCGAAAAACAAAAAAAAAGGGAGTATGAATTAGCCATAATTCAAGGTGCATCCAGTTCTAGCACACACTAGCTGACTACTGATGTAACCTCTCACCCTCAGATCCTCATCTGTCAAATGAGAAGCAAATCATCAACCCCTAGAATTTCTGTAAGGACTCAGTAAAATATAAAGTATATAAAATATACAGCTCAAATGTACTTAAGACAGGTTAGGATTCTCTCTTACTATTTGTGTTTTAAGCTCCTTCAGGATAGGCTCACATCTAATTCATCTCCATATCTGACACAGCACCCAGCACAAAGACATGACAGTCCCCTAAGCTAGACCCCCTCACCTGAGGATGTTGATACAACCATTGCCATTTGTCAGGAAGAACATATTATTGTCATTGTTCCAGGAGATTTCGTTGACCTCGAACTTGAACTGCTCTTCTGCTTTGGAACGGTGTGTCTTGGCATCAATAAAGGTCACCACATCATCCTTGTTGCCTACAGCAATGGTCTGCCCATCAGGACTCCAGCAGATATTAATGTTCTCCCCTGGGAACCCAGACATAATCAGCAAGATAATCTGTTTGCTCATAATCCTCTACAAGTTTATTGCACTATCCTAGAAAGAAGACCAGAGCTTTCTTCCGGGCTTACTCATTAAAGTCCTAGACAATGGAAGGGAGCTACCACTTACGATTCAACAATAAGTCCAGAACTTTCATCTACACATTTCCCCATTTGGTCTTCACAATACTCCTCTAACATACACTTTATTATCTCCATTTATAAAATCTATAAGATTTTATAGATGAAGGAAATAGGAGATAAGACGACAAGCCAAAGTGTCAAAGCTATGAAGTCAAAGAGCTATGAAGTGGCGCGATCTCGGCTCACTGCAAGCTCCACCTCCTGGGTTCACGCCATTCTCTCGCCTCAGCCTCCCGAGCAGCTGGGACTACAGGCGCCTGCCACCACACCAGGCTAATTTTTTTGTATTTTTAGTAGAGACGGGGTTTCACCGTGTTAGCCAGGATGGTCTCGATCTCCTGACCTCGTGATCCGCCCGCCTTGGCCTCCCAAAGTGCTGGGATTACAGGTGTGAGCCACCGTGCCCGGCCGAGCCAAGATTTTAAACCCAGATTTGACCCCAAAGCCCCCTTTTCTCTTACACCAGCATTTCTCAACTCCAGCCATTCGCATGCCAACATCACAATTTTTGTCCTATCCATTAAACACTATACTTTTCTTTATTCAAGATTTTTCTTAAAATTGATTCAAAAAAGTTTACTTAAATAAATTTAGCAGCCAGCTGTGGAGGCTCAAGCCTGTAATTCCAGCACTCTGGGAGGCCAAGGTAGGCAGATCACTTGAGTCCAGGAGTTCAAGATCAGCCTGGGCAATATGGCAAAACCCGTCTCTACAAAAAATTAGCCAGGCATGGTGGCATGTGCCTGTAGTCCCAGCTACTCAGGAGGTTGAGGTGGGAGGATGGCTTGAGCCCAGGTGGAGGCTGCAGGGAGCCAATATTATGCCACTGTACTCCATCCTGGGTAACAGGGCAAGACCCTGTCTCAAAAATAAAAATAAAATAAAATAAATAAAAATAAAATAAATTTAGCTTCAACTGAATAATAAATTCTATGTGCTAGTTCTTCTAGTAGACATTAAGATATTTGCAAAACTGGTTTTTAATGTTCACCCACGCATCACCTGAATCACTCATGGATCAGCAGCTGTATACTTGGGGAAAAACCACACCATTCCGCCTCCAGAGATAAGTCTTGTCAACAAAGTCCAGTGGCCCACACTGAACACATCAATTAAAAATTTCACCAACTTTTTCCATTCTAAAACGCATATTTTCTCACATTTTAGTATCTACACTGTATCTTAAAATGTATCAGAAAGCATTTCAAAATTTTGGGTGTATCACAGTTATTTACCAACTTTCTTTCCTAATGGAACATCTTACGATCAATGAAAACTCAGAGTCCCATACAATACCGGCCTCAATACTTACAACAGAGCCTATAAATGTACTGCACAACTTTCTCCCAGATCACCAAGACCATCCAAGTTTCAACCATTCTAACTCATCAGAATTTTCCAAATTCTCCATGCCTTTGCACATGCTGTTCCCTCCTGGAAATGTCCCATTCCCCACCCACAGCACCCTGACCACTCAACTCCTATGGCTACCCTAAAAGTTTGCTCAAATTTGGTGAGGCCTTCCCTGGCTCCCCTAGGCAGACTTTTGTTTTCATTTCTATTCTGGGTATCCACCTTGCAGACCTCTCCATTATAAAATGAACCATATCTTGCTATGTTATTTGTATATATATGTCTTCTCCCCGCAGGGGAGGTCCTTGGAGCTGGAAACTCTTATTCAGCTCAGGATGTCTCATACACAGCTGAGTGCCAGGCACAGAAAAGATATTCGGAAAATGGTTGTTGAATGAATCCAAACAGCTTATCTTCCTATTGCCCTCTCTCTGAATAGTCACCTTTAGTGTTCACAGTGGCAATGCATTTTGTAGTCCTCACATCCCAGATGCGAATGGTTTTATCTCCGGACGCCGTAACAAATAGGTCAGGATTACTTGGATGCCAACAAAGCTGGTCCACACTATCCCCATGTCCCCGATAATTGTTTTCTTTGACCTGAAAGAACAGAATCCAGATGTGACTTCACATAGATGTAACTGCCTCCGCATGTAACTTTATAAGCTTATTCAAACCAAAGTATGCTGGGACCAGTAAAGATCTGGGTAATTCAGAATCCAGTTCCTCCAAGCCCTTTCTCCCTTCTCTTCTCCGCAGGCCTTCTGAACTGTTTTTCTCAGCTTCCACACCTATGCCCTTACTTTTGTGCCCTCCCTGGCCTTCTCCTCCTTCCTGGTTTTCCACCCTTACTCTACCACCAACGTACCACCAACGTACCACCAACGTACCACCACCACCACCACCACCACCACCACAGCCCCTAGCCACTTCTTATCAGCACAGGATTCGACTCCAAACGAGTAAGGCTCCCATCGCAGCCCTGTCCCATCCACCCTCTCCTCACCTTCACCCGCCATCGCCAACCTCCTTACTTCCACACTCTTCACACGCCCCCAGTCTTCCTCTCCTCACCCCTCACGACCCCGTCACCCCCACACTCCACCTTCTCCCTACTCCCTCCTCATCTCCACACTCCCCCTTTCCCCTTCCCTCAAACCCACTCTCCTTTCACCCCCGCGGCTCCGTTCGCCCCCATTCGCTCTCCCACTACCGCACCTCACTTCACCACGGCCCCTCTCCCTAGCCTGAGCCGAGCCCCGGCAGCTCACCAACCGGTCCTTCTCCAGCAAGAAGACGCTGGCCGTCTTGTCGAAGGACCCCGAGGCTAGGCGACGCCCGTCGCAACTCCAGGCCACCGAGTGCACCTTGGCGCTGTGCGCCAGAACTCGCGCGTCTTGCTGTGGCCCCGGAACAGCTCCTGCATCCCAAGCACGTAGCGCGACGGGCCGCTGCTCACTGAGCACCACGGGGCCATCGAGCCGGGACCGCTCTGGCCCAACGCCGAGGGCCCCATGGCTGCAGCGGGGACCGCCATGCCGAGCTCCCCAGCTTCCAACTCACAACACTGCAGCAGCCTCCACGGCGCAGTCAGTCCTGGCGCCGCTGCCGCACGCATGCGCCCGGAAGAGGGACGGCCCCTCTGCGCAGGCGCGCTGTACCCCGCCCCGGAAGGGACTACAAATCCCGGTATGCAGCGCGTGCCCGCGTCTGCTTACTTAGTAATATTTGGTTCTTTTAACTCCAAATATGCTTCACACTTAACGATTCCGAGTTTTTTTAGTGTTCTTATTTCTCCCTTACCTATTCTTTGGTAGATATATGTGTATTCCTGTTTAATCGAATAAAAGAACCAACACTAACCTTCTAAACAGTTAACTCATCACCTTTCTTCTGGGGTTGTTCCCTAATCCCTAGTCCCCTCCCTTAAGAGCAGAAAGCTCTGGTCTTTTTGCTGGAGAAGGACCAGCTGGTGAGCTTGTCCCATGAAAAGGGCTAGCGGGTGTGGAGTGAGGGAAGAGGTGTTAAGAAGGGGTCTGGAGGTTTTGTTTTTTTTTTTAAATAAAAATGGATTTTTTGTTTTTAAAAGGTAATGGCAGAGGCGTGTGAACCAGAGCAACTCTATCTTAAATAGGAACTGGGTGAAATGAGGCTTAAACCTACTGGGCTGCATTCCCAGACTGTTAAGGCATTCTAATCACAGGATGAAATAGGAGGTCAGCACAAAATACAGGTCATAAAGACCTTGATGATAAAACAGGTTGCAGTAAAGGAACCGGCCAAAACCCACCAAAACCAAAATGGCGATGAGAGTGACCTCTGGTCATCCTCACCTCTACACTCCCACCAGTGCCAGGACAGTTTGTAAATGCCATGGCAACGTCAGGAAGTTACCCTATACGGTCTAAAAAAGGGAGGCATGAATAATCCACCACTTGTTTAGCATATCATCAGGAAAAACCATAAAAATGCGCAACCAGCGGCCCTCGGGGCTGCTCTGTCTATGGAGTGGCCATTCTTTTATTCCCTTTACTTTCTTAATAAACTTGCTTTCACTTTGCACTGCGGACTTGCCCTGAATTCTTTCCTGAGTGAGATCCAAGAACCCACTCCTGGGGTCTGGATTGGGACCCTTTTCCTGTAACAGTATTACATGCACATGATTGTAAATATAAAAATAAAAGATATAGAGTGAAAAGTAAATGTCCACCTGCGTATCCACCCCACCTCTCATATCTCCCTTAAACCAGTGGCTTCTTGCTGGAGAAAAAAGGGGTGGTGAGCTGCCAGCGCCAGTCAAGGCCCTGGAGAAGAGCTGAGGGGGGAAGGTTTTGGTGGTGAGTAGTAGTGGTAAATGTGTTTAAAAACCCAATTTTTAAAAGGCAACACGTGCACTTGGTAACAAATGTAAAATGTATAAAAGGGAATAGATTGAAAAGCTTCCCTCCATCCTGTGTCCCCAAACTTCTCTTCTGAAAAAGTTAAATTTCTTGTGTGGCCTTCCAGAGACAGTGTAAGTAAGCACCTGGGCAAGGTAGATAGGTGTGTGCATAACCTCTCCCAACACACTGCCAAAAAGGTAGCATTCCTTACACAACTTGCTTCCTATGGTAAATATGTATAGGAAATCATTTCTTGTCAGAAAATGCAGACGTCTCATTCTTCTCAATGGTGGCAGTCTTTATATGAATATATAATATTCAACTGATCCCTTCATGAATTTGCTTTTAGAACAATATTAGAACAATATTGCAGTGAATATCCCTATACAACCTTCATTGTACACATCTGCACTTTTTTATTTGGATATATATTGCCAAAACACCTATGAAGAGGTTTAATAATTTATACTTCCACCAGCAACATAAGAAAGTGTCAGAAGGTCCTAGGTACTAAATGAGTACACATATAAAGCATATGGCTCTCAGAAGGACCGTAGGAAATAAGGTCCCTCTCTTTCCCCAATCTTTTCCCTACCCCATTGCAACCAGAAATTCTTGGAAACTACAAAGCTTTTCAGACTCCAAGAATACCACTGAAGTCTCTAAAATCTTGGAGTAGGAAACTATTTGGTGTCTAGTTTTCTTCCTTACCCCTCTTTTTCAGGAATCTTCATATATATATATATTTAGATATTTTTCCTACATTTTCCCTGTATTTTGTATTTTTTTTTTTTTTTTTTTTTTTGCTGCATACACTGAGGATTTACAAGTCCCTACCAAGATACAAAAACTGAAGTAGAAAGAGGTAAAATGTCCTGGTCCAGGTCACATGACTATCATGTGACAGAGCAAAGGTTAGAACTCAGATGTTACTGACTCTAAAATCTACACTCTGATTCTCAGTATCTGAAATCACGTAAATGTGATTCTTTGTATTTCTGCATTCATTTTGTATTTTTGTATGTAATGTATATTTTTTATTTTTTAATTTTTTTTTGAGATGAAGTTTTGCTCCTATTGCCCAGGCTGGAGTGCAGTGCGATCTTGGCTCACTGCAACTTCCGCCTCCCAGGTTCAACCAAGTCTTCTGCCTCAGTCTCCCGAGTAGCTGGGATTACAAGCACCGCCACCATGCCTGGCTAATTTTTTGTATTTTTGGTTGAGATGGGGTTTCGCTATGCTGGCCAGGCTGGTCTCGAACTCCTGATGTCAGGTGATCCACCCGTCTCTGCCTCCCAAAGTGCTGGGATTACAGGCATGAGCCACCGCGCCCGGCCTGTAATGTATGTTTTTTACTTAATTTCCCCTTGTGTTCCTTTTCTATATTCTGTATACATGGATGTTAGAAACTCAGTTGTGATAAGTATATCCGACTGCTCTTGCCTGAGACAGAAACTGGTATAACATTTCAAGTTGGACTAGCACACATCTGGGGGCAATGTTGAGACTAAAGTCAGAGTCTCTCAAAGGGGAGATAAAATTGAGGGGAACAGAGTCATGGGCCATTTTTTAAAACTTTTTATTTGGAAAAATTCAAATTTACAGAAAAGTTGCAAGAATAGTAAAAAGCACTGCTATTCCTGTGACACAGATTCACCGAATTGTAGCATTTTGTTCCACTTTTTTTCTTTTTTTAGTTTTATTTTTATTTATTTATTTTTTTGAGACACAGTCTTACTCTGTCACCCAGGCTGGAGTGCAGTGGCGCGATCTTGGCTTACTGCAACCTCCGCTTCCCAGGTTCAAGCGATTCTCATGTCTCAGCCACCTGAGTAGCTGGGATTACAGGCGTGCACCCCCACACCCGCTAATTTTTTGTATGTTTTGTAGAGATGGAGTTTCTCCATGTTGGCCAGGCTGGTCTCAAACTCCTGGCCTCACCCGCCTTGGCCTCCCAAAGTGCTGAGATTACAGGCCTGAGTCACTGTGCCCAGCCTCCATTTGCTTTCTCTACATATATCTACGTTACTACTCTTTTGTCTAAACATTTGGCAATTGTGCATTAGTCCGTTCTCACATTGCTATAGGGAACTACCTGAGACTGGGTAATTTATAAAGAAAAGAGGTTTAATTGGGCCAGGCACGGTGGCTCACACCTGTAATTCCAGCACTTTGGGAGGTCAAGGCGGGTGGATCACGAGGTCAGGAGTTCAAGACCAGCCTGGCCAAGATGGTGAAACCTCGTCTCTACTTAAAATATAATCAAATTAGCCGGGCGTGGTGGCGGGCGCCTGTAGTCCCAGCTACTTGGAAGGCTGAGGCAGGAGAATGGTGTGAACCCGGGAGGCGGAGCTTGCAGTGAGCCTAGATTGCACCACTGCACTCCAGCCTGGGCTACAGAGCAAAAAGCTGTCTCAAAAAAAAAAAAAAAAAAAAAAAAAAAAAGAGGTTTAATTGGCTCGTGGTTCCATAGGCTGTACAGGAAGCATGGCTGGGCAGGTCTCAGGAAACAGAGAGACAGGGAGGTGCCACATACTTTTAAACAGCCAGATGTCATAAGAACTCAGTCACTGTAACGAGAACAGCAAGGGGGAAATTCGCTCCGATGATCCAGTCACCTCTCACCAGGCCCCTCCTCCAACACTGGGGTTTACAATTGGAAATTTTCTCAGGGACACAAATCCAAGACCTATCACATTGTAAGTTGCATACATCTTACCCTTTACCCCTAAATATTTCAGTATTTCCTAAGAAATAGGATGTTCTGTTTCCTACCCCCAGTATAGTTATCGATGTTGGTAAATTGAACAGAAACATGGAATTTTATTTAATCTACTGTCTGTATTTCATTTGTGTCAATTTAGCCAGAAATGTTCTTTATAGCATTCTTTTCTTTCAGTACATGTTCCAGTCTAGAACCTCATACTATATTTAGTTATTATATGTCCTTAGTCTCCTTGAATCTATAAAGGTTCCCCAGCATTTCTGTGCCTATTATGACATCAACATTTTTGAAGAATGCAGTTGATGGACCGTTTTTACAGTTCCTTCTCTCACCTAGAAATTCTCTCTTAGGAGCTGATCAAAATCAAACTAAGAAATTTTTTACACATGTGAGTCTTGGGGACTTCAGGGTCATTCAAGGCAGAATCAGGCCATAAATAGTAATGCCAGAGATGACAGGATGTGTAGAGGGACAGGGGAAAAATCTTACAGTGAAAGAAGAGTAGGGGAGTCTTGAAGTATAAGTCCTTTGGGGGTCAGAGGACTTTAGAGAAGCTGATGTTGTAAAAGAAAACAGACTTGTCACCTCTGGCAAAGCCTCAACATATGGGTATGTATCCGTCAGGGTTCAGCCAGAGAAGCAGAACAACTGGAAGATAATTAGAATTATCAGGTAAGTGAAGAAATCAAACTAAAGAAAGGATAGAGTTTCATTTCAGCAGCTTAAAATTTTATATCACAAAGCTGATAATGTTACAACTTAATTATATACCAGACTAATATTCAGAACTAAAGCAGATATATATATGTTCTGCTTTAGTCATATATATGTGATTTTAAAATATAAATATATATTCATATATTTAAATGTTTATATGATAAAATACCTAGATATAAACTTATACAAAATATATTTAAAAATTTTACCAAAAATTACTAATTTTAAGAATTATTTAAGCTGGTGTGGTGGCTCACACCTGTAATCCCAGCACCTTGGAGGCTGAGGCGGGTAGACCACCTGATGTAAGGATTTTGAGACCACCCTGGCCAACATGGTGAAACCCTGTCTCTACTAAAAATACAAAAATTAGCTGGGCATGGTGATGCACAACTGTAGTCCCAGCTACTCAGGAGGCTGAGGCAAGAGAATCGAATGAATCCAGGAGATGGAGGTTGCAGTGAGTCGAGATCATGCCACTGCACTCCAGGTTGGAGGACAGAACAAGACTCTGTCTTGACAACAACAACAATAAGAGTTATTGAGAGGCCAATAAGAATTTTGGTGAAAAAACTAAAAAGGGAAAAATTAGGAAACCATTTATAGAGGAAATATCCATAGATGTAATTCAAAACAAACAAAAAATATTGCTCTACAGAATTCCTACTGCTCCCTTAAGTGTTTGGATATGCAAAACAGAGGCCTCACCGATTCTCCATATAAAGATGGGTTTAAGTGTTTAGATTGGGTATGGTCATGGGAGAGTTGAGTTGCTCTGTATGAAAATGAAAAGAATAGGCCGGGTATGGTGGTTCATGCCTGTAATCCCAGCATTTTGGGAGGCTGAGGCAGGCAGATCACCTGAGATCAGGAGTTCGAGACCAGCCTGGCCAATATAGTGAAACCCCATCTCTACTAAAAATACAAAAATTAGCCAGGCGTGGTGGTACATGCATATAGTTCCAGCTACTAGGAGGCTGAGGCAGGAGAATTGCTTGAACCCAAAAGGCGGAGGTTGCAGTAAGCCGAGATCGTGCCACTGCACTCCAGCCTGGGTGACAGAGTGAGACTCCATTTCAAAAAATAAAAAATTACATGAAAATGAAAAAAATAATTTAAAATATTTGGGGGAATACCAAGACAGAGCAGCACAAACCAGCAGAGTGGAGCACTGCATAGGTAGAAAGGGGAGATTTTAGGTCCCTTAGGACAGGTGGCTGTTTTTTCAAACGCCTTCTTAAAATCACAAGGCACACAAAGAAACAGGAAAATACGGCCTGATCAAAGTCAACAAAATAAATCTCCAAAAACCAACTCTAAAGAAACACAGGTTTCAGGCTTACTAAACAAAGACTTTAAAACAATGGTCTTTATTAAATATACTCAATGAGACACTGAATTAAAGGAAGCAGGAAAACAATACATGAACAAAATAGGATATCAGCAAAGAGACAAATTATTTTTAAAAAGAACCATACAGACATCCTAGAGTTGAAAAATAAGCTAACTGAATTGGAAAATTAACTAGAGGGGTTCAAAATCAGAATTGAATGGGCAGAAGAATCAGTGAACTTGAAGAAACATCATTTGAAATTATCAAGTCTGAGAAGCAAAAAGAAAAAAACAATGAAGAAAAGTGAACAGAGCCTAGGGAGCATATGGAACAACATCAAGTGGACCAAGTTATAAGCTATTGGAATTCCAGAAAGAAAAGAGAGAGACAGAGAGAAACACAGAGGGAAAAAAATAGACTTTTTTTTCTTTTTTAAATTAAGATGGAGTCTCACTCTGTCATCCAGACTGGAGTGCAGTGGCGTGATCTCGGCTCACTGCAACTTCCACCTCCCAGGTTCAAGCAATTCTCGTGTCTCAGCCTCCCAAGCAGCTGGGACTATGGGTGCGTGCCACCACACCCAGCTAAGTTTTTTTTTGTATTTTTTAGTAGAGAAGGGGTTTTGCCATGTTGGCCAGGTTGGTCTCGAACTCTTGACCTCAGGTGATCCACCTGCCTTGGCCTCCCAAAGTGTGGGATTACAGGCGTGAGCCACCACTCCCAGCCTAAAAATAGACACTAAGTAAAAATAAAACTGTTACAAGAAACAGGAGAATATTATATAATGGTGAAAGGGTCAATTCACCAAGAAGATATAACAATTAAAAACATTTATGCAATAAATATTAGAGCCTAAATATACATAGCAAACATTGACAGAATTGAAGACAGAAATAGACAACTTGAAAAAATAGTAGGAGACTTCAGTACTACCCTTTCAATAACGGATAGAACAACTAGACAGAAGATCAATAAGGAAATACAAGAACTTGAACAACACTATAGACGAAATGGCCCTAACAGACATAAACAACACAATCCACCTAACAATAGAATATACTTTTTTTAAAGTGCATTATGAAACATTCTCCAGGATAGAGGATGTGTTAGGCCACAAAACAAGTCTTAATGAATTTTAAAAGATTAAAATCATACAAAATATTGTTTCCAATCACAATGGAAAGAAACCAATAGCAAAAGTTGTGCTGAAAAATCCACAAATACATGAAAATTAAACAACACATTCCTTAATCCCAGATACTCAGGAGGCTGAAGTGGAAGGATCACTTGAGCCCAGGCATTTGAGGCTGCAGTGAGCTTTGATCATGCCACTGCACTCCAACTTGGATGATGGAGCAAGAGCTCATCTCTAAAGAAAACAAAAGAGAGAACAAAACAATACACTCTCAAATAACAATGGGTCAAAAGAAAAAAATCACAAGGGAAATTAGAAAATATCTTCAGACAAATGAAAATAAAAACAAATGTACCAAAATGTGTGGGATGCAGCAAACATAGTACTAAAAAGGAAATTTACAGCTGTAATTGCTTGCATACCAAATAAGAACCCAAATCAACAATGTAACTTTACACCTTAAGGAACTAGAAAAATAAAAAATGAAACTGAAACCTCGCAGAGGAAAAGAAATAATGAAGATTTGAGCAAAGATCAACAAAATAGAGAATAGAAAACAACTTTTAAAATTAAAAAACAAGAGTTGGTTCTTCCATAAGATCAGCAAAACTGCCAACTGACTAAGAAAATAAGAGAGAAGTCTCAAATAACTAAAATCAGAAATGAAAGGAGATATTGCTGCTGCTTTTACAGAAATAAAAAGGATCATAAGCTAGTAATGTGAATACCTATATGATGAAAAATTAGATAACTAGATGAAATGAATAAAATCCTAGAAATACACAATCTACCAAGAGTGAATCTGGAGAAACAGAAAACTGGAATAGACTACAATTAATAAGGAGATTGAATCTATAGCCAAAAACCTTTCAACAACAACCAAAAAAAAAAAAAACAAAACCCTAGAATAAGATGGTTTCACTAGTAAATTCTACCAAACATTTATAGAAAAATTAACAGCAATCCTCCTAAACTGTTAAAAAGACTGAAGAGAGGACACCCCCCACTTATTCTATAAGGCCAGCATTACCCTAATATAAAAGCCAAACAAATACACTACAAGAAAAGAAAACCACACAGACCAGTATCCCTGGTAAACACTGAAGTGAAAATCCTTAACAAAATACTAGCCAACAGAATTCAACAATGCTTTAAAATTACTACATACCACGACCAAGTGGGATTTATTTCTGGAATGCAAGGATGATTTAACATACAAAAAACAATGAATGCGGCCAGGTGCAGTGGCTCATGCCTGTAATCCCAACGCTTTGGGAGGCCAAGGTGGGCGGATCACCTGAGGTCAGGAGTTTGAGACCAGCCTGGCCAACATGGTGAAACCCTGTCTCTACTAAAAACACAAAAATTAGCCGGGAGTGATGGCGGGCACCTGTAATCCCAGCTACTCGAGAGGCTGAGGCACGAGAATCTGAATCCAGGAGATGGAGGTTGCAGTGAATTGAGATCGCGCCAGTGCACTCCAGCCTGAGTCACAGAGTGAGACTCCCATCTCGAAAAAAAAAATGCATTTCTCCACATAAATAGAATTAAACACAAAACCACATGATCATCTCAATTGATTCAGAAAGAACGTTTGACAAAATTCAACATATTTTCATGATAAAAAGTACCCAGCAAACTAGAAATAAAAGAGAACTACCTCAATATAATAAAGGCCATATATGTAAAGCTTACAGCTAACATGTTAAATGGTTAAAGACCAAAAGGTCTAGGATCACAAACAAGAATAAAGATGCCTGCTTTTGCCACTTCTATTCAACATAGTACTGGAAGTCCTAACTGGAGCAAGCAGGTAAGAAAAAGAAATAAAAAGCATCTAAATTGGAAAAAAAAACACATAAAATTATCTCTCTTCTCAGATTACACATTTAATGTAGGAAACCCTGAAGAGTCCACTAAAAAACAAACAAACAAACAAACAAAAACTGTTAGAACAATCACTAATCATTAGGAAAATGCAAATCAGGCCAGGCATGGTGGCTCATACCTACAATCTCAGTACTTTGGGAGGCCGAAGTGAGAGGATGGCTTGAGCCCAGGAGTTCAAGACCAGCCTGGGCAACAGGGTAAAACCCGGTCTCTACCAAAAATACAAAAATTAGCTGGGTGGGGTGGTGCGTGCCTGAAGTCCAGCTACTCAGGAGGCTGAGGTAGGAAAAGCACCTGAGCCTGGGAAGTCAAGGCTGCGGTGAGCTATGATTGTGCCACTGCACTCCAGCCTGGGCAACGGGAGAGAGACCCTGTCTCAAAAAAAAAAAAAAAAAGCAAAAATTAAAATTGAAATGATAATGAGATGCTACTTCATACCCATTATGATGGCTACTATTTAAAAAATGAGCAGAAAATAAAAAGTGTTGGCAAGGGTGTGTAGAAATTGAAACCATTGTGCACTATTGGTGGGAATGGAAAATGGTGAAGTCACATTGGAAAACAGTATGGCAGTTTCCCAAAAAGTTAAAAATAGAATTACCATATGATAAAGCAATTCTGTTTTGGGGTATAGACCCAAAAAGAATTGAAAAGCAGGGTCTCAAGGAGATCGCCATATACCCATGTTCACAGCAGCATTATTCACAATAGGGAAAAGATGGAAGAAATCCAAGTGTTCAGTGACAGATGAATGGGTAAACAAGATGTGATAAATACATATAATAGAATATTATTCAGCTTTAAAAAGAAATTCTGACACATGCTACAACATGAGTTTGAACTTTGAACACATTTTGCAAAGTGAAATAAACCAGTTACAAAAACAGAAATGCTGTATAATTCCACTTATATGAGATTTCTAGAATAGTCTAATTCATAGAAACAGAAAGTAGAATAGTGGTTGCCAGAGGCTGAGGGAAGGGGA